>NC_000022.11:32951988-33103503 GCF_000001405.40 Homo sapiens
TCCACTTCCCGGCACAGGCTGTATTTTTAGCTTGCTGGTCCTGGGGGGGATCAGTGACTTCCTTGGCTGGCATCTCAGGGCTGAGCTCTTTCCCACCAGTTCAGACTCACCTTGCAGACGAAAAAGGCTTTGAGAGTCTGCCCACTCACCTAGCAGCCCATTCCAGATGAGGAAATCTTGCTCAGTAGAAGCACTCGGCATCTCAGTGAAGGCCTGGCCCACCAGAAAAATCATAGCATGCCTGTGTGTGTGTGAATATTGAATGAGTGTGTGTGTGCGCACACGCATGTGAATAATGTGTGTGTGGGGGGGTGTGTGTGTGTGTGGACAGGCAGGGTGGGGAGGGATAAACACATTAAAAATGTCCAAATAAATACAAAAACACAGAAAAAAAATAAAATAATAAAAACCTACATTCCTAAATGTTCATGTATTAGAATATTCAAAATTAGGATGGGTTTGCCACATTGTATTTGAAAAATCAGACTGGTCTCAGTGGCTCACACGTGTAACTTCAGCACTTTGGGAGGCTGAGGCAGGAGGATTGCTTGAGCCCAGGAGTTCGAGACCAGCCTGGGAAAACATAGTGAGACCCTGTCTCTACAAAAAATTTAAAAATCAGCCAGGTGTGGTGGTGCATGCCTATCGTCCTAGTTACTTAGGACTCGAAGCGGAAGGCTCACTCGAGCCCACGAGTTCAAGGCTGCAGTGAGCTATGATTGCACCATCGCCCTGCAGCCCAAGGAACAGAGCAAAACCCTATCTCAAATAAATAAATAAATAAATAGAATTTAAAAATAAAAAGCAGTGTTTTGCAGTTTACAAAATGTTTGATGTAACATAATGTTTTCTGGAATCAGAACAAACGAGTTTGAATCTGATCTCCACCCCTGCCTTGCTGTACAACTTTGGGCAAGTTAGCCTTCTTATGCCTTAGTCTCTCATCTGTAAAAAGAGGCTATGGTGCCTTCATAGGGCAGTTGTGAGCATTAAATGAATTAATCCACTTGAAAGCTCTTAGCAAGGTGCTTAGGCAAAAATAAATGTGTAATGAATGTTAGCTATCAAGGTTATACTAATTAATTTGATTATCACAACAACATTGATAGAAGCATGGGTATTAGCCTCCTCATAGTTGATAAGAAAACTGGAGAGCAGAGAGTGTTCAAATGACTTGGCTAAGATCACAAAGCTATTGCACCAGAGAGCAAGGACTTGAACTCAGGTCAGTCTGATTCTGTTTGCATCCATTTATTCATTTATTCATTTAGGACATTCTTATTGAGCAGCTGCTCTGCCAGGGCTAGGGGCTGGTGACACAGCAGTGAAAGTAACAGAAAAAATTCCCTGTCCTCACCTTATATTCTAGTGCAGACCATTAATAATAAATATAAATAATACATTGGGAGAGGAAAGAGAAACACTGGCAAGAAGACAGAGTGCCAGAAGTTGAGTTTTGTGTTAAATAAAGGGGTCAGGAGAAGAATAAATTTGATCAGTGATATGAGCAAAGTGAGGTAGCAAAACCTATTAATAAGGGGCGGGGGAGGGGGCTTTCCAGGCAGAGAGACCAGCAGGTGCAAAGACCCTGAGGCTGGAGTATATATACAGAATTCAAGGAACAGCAAGAAAATTGGCGTGCCTGGAACAGGGCTAGTAAGGTGGTCAGGAAAGAAGATGAGATCAGAGAGGGGATGACGGACCAGGTCACAGCAAGGGTTTAGGATTTTATTCTGCATGAGATGGGAAGATGTTGGCATCTTTACTATCCTTATCACCAACATCATCATCTCCACTATTGTCAAGGAAGATAATGGTGGAGATGATTCTCCTCCTCATCCCCCTCCTCCTTCTTCATCAACATCATCACACTTGGCAATATAAGATGTTAGGGAGTCAAGTTTGAGAAAAATCATCAGTTAGATGTATTGTTCTGATTTTTAAGGAATTTCTTAATGGCAAAGTTTTGTTCCCAAAAGCCTAGATGTACATTTGCTAGGATCGAGGTGGGGTTCTGGTGACTGGAGGCCAGAGGACCAGGCATGCCCTAATTCTGTCCTGATAGTCGCCCCTTCCTGCTCAGGGTTCCTGAGAGAGTTGTACCCACACCCAACAAAACAAAACAAAACAAAACAAAACAAAACAAAACAAAACAAAACAAAAACCGCACCTGAGAATCAAAGTAAAACATCCATTGCCCTTTGCCCTATGCCAGGGGAGACTTCAAGGTTGGGGAGAGCCTTTAATAATGTCCCTAGGACAGGAAGGAGGTTCATCGAAGGGGAGAAAAAGGGGCCTTTAAGGGGAACAGGATGGTGAGACCACCACAGCTTCATCTCTCCCCACCTCCAGAGCTTTTAGAAGGTCGACAGACCTAGAAACAAATTTTGCTAACTGCAATGAATTTTTGCTACCTGCAGTGGATAGGGCAAATGTTCAGAGATTTTAAGACCACAGCTTAGATACAAAGAAAAGAACAGTGGTTAATGTTTCCTTGACATTTACGTCCCATTGCTATGAGCTGGGCTCCACATGCTTAGACACCATTCTGCCAAATGCTCTGCAAAGTGTGTGAAAAAGTGTCCTCGCAGCCCTCTGGCTCTCCTGATGGATGGGTTCTGGGTGCATTAAGATCAAGATGTGGAAGCACAGTCCATTGTTGGGGGCTAACACTCAGTAGTACCACAGATGAACCAGAAACTGCAAGAGGAAAGCAGTCCTGGGAAGAGAGGCTGTTTGGGGTAAGAAGATGCTGCTGGAGCTGGGCACTGTGGATTCTAATTCTGCAGACCATAGTGAGGGGACATATTGAAGGAGCTGAAGCGGGGCTGGTACAGTTATATTTCTGTAAATGTTTTTTTTTTTTTCCAAATGGAAAACTCAAAGTTATAATGTGATGAGAGGAACATCTTGTTCATCAAAGCTCTAAGAAATTCAAATGCTTTTTCCTTTTCTTTTTTTTTTTTCTTTTCATTTTAAAGGTCCAAAATCTTTCTCAGGATTGTAGGAAGGAAAAAAGGCACTCAGACTTCCTTTTCTATTCTCATTGCTACCCATAGTGCAGACCTCGCCTTCTTGTTCTAGAACTACTGTCTCCCTGTATCTCATTTACCCTCCATATGATCCAGTCTGCACATCCAGGGAACAGCCCTGCACCCCCAGGTGAGGACCTACTACTTCCTACTACTGGGACCTCCAAGAATACGGCCACCTTTGAACCCCAAATGCATAGACCCTGCTGTTCCTATCACAGCTCCAGCTAAGCACCAGACACTTTGAAAGGCCAGCGGGTTCAGCACTCAGGATGCTAAATGCTGCAAAGAAAAATGAGGCAGATAAAGTGATGGAGAAGTGTGCATGGAAGTGCCATTTCAGATAGGGGGTGGGGGGCAAGCATTTCTGAGGAGGTGACATTTGGGCAAAGCACCTGAATACAGTGAGGGCATGAGCCATGCGGACACCTGGGGGATGAGGGGCCCAGGCAAAGGCCTTGATGCACTTGCTTGATATTTTAAAGATTTTTATGTTTTTCATTGTGGTAAATTATATACAACATAAAATTTATCATTTTAATCCTTTTTTAAGTGTACATTTTAGTGGCATTAAGTACATTCATGGTGTTGTGCAACCACCACCGCTAACCATCTCCAGAACTTTTTCATTACCACTTGTGATGGTTAATACTGAGTGTCAACTTGATGGGATTGAAGAATGCAAATTATTGATCCTGGGTGTGTCTGTGAGGGTGTTTCCAAAGGAGATTAACATTTGAGTCACTGGGCTGGGGAAGGCAGACTCACCCTTAATCTGGGTGGGCACCATCTAATCAGCTGCCAGTGAATATAAAGCAGGCAGAAGAACATGAAAAGGCTAGACTGGCCTAGCCTCTCAGCCTACATCTTTTTCTCCATGGTGGATGCTTCCTGCCCTCTAACATTGGACTCCGAGTTCTTCAGCTTTGGGACTCAGACTGGCTTACTTGCTCTTCAGATTGCAGATGGCCTATTGTGTGAACTTGTGATTGTGTGAGTTAATACTACTTAATAAATTCACATATATATATATATATATATAAAATCTCCTATTAGTTCTGTCCCTGTAGAGAACCCTAATACCGCCCCCCCCAAAAAATGTTATACAGAACCTGTCCCCCTCCCAGCCCCTACTAACTTTTTTTTTTTTTTTGAGACAGAGTCTTGTTCTGTCGCCCAGGCCAGAATGCAGAGGCACGATCTTGGCTCACTGCAACCTCCACCTCCTGGGTTCAAGTGATTCTCCTGCCTCAGCCTCCCAAGTAGCTAGGATTACAGGTGCCCACCACCACGCCCAGCTAATTTTTGTATTTTTAGTAGAGACAGTGTTTCACCATGTTGGTCAGGCTGGTCTCAAACTCTGACCTCAAATAATCCACCTGCCTCAGCCTCCCAAAGTGCTGGGATTACAGGTGTGAGCCACCTTACCCGGCCACCCCTACTAATTTCTATCCTACTGTGTCTCAATAGATTTGACTACTCTAGGTACTTCAGATTACTGGAATCATATAACATTTGTCCTTTTGTGTCTGACTTCTATCACGTAATATCATGTTTTCAAGGCTCATCTATATTGTAGCATATGCCAGAATTCCTTTTTTGAGGCTGAATAATATTCTATTGTTTGGACATAGCACATTTTGTTCACCCATTCATCTGCTGATGGACATCTGGGTTGTTTCCACCTTTTGGCTATTGCGAACCATGCTGCTGTGAACATGGGTGTACAAATATCTGTTCAAGTCCCTGCTTTCAATTCTTCTGGGTAAATTCCCAGAAGTAGAATTGCTGGATTGTACAGTAATTCTACATTTAATTTTTGAAGGAACTGCCATACTGTTCTCCACAGTGGCTGCCTCATTCTACATTCCCACATCAGTGCACAAAGGTTCCAATCTCTCCACCTTCTCACCAACACTTGTTATTTTCTGTTGTTTGATTTTAAGGAAGAGCAAGACAGCCCGTGTGGATGGATCAGAGTAAGCCAGGAAAATAGGGTCAGGAACAAGGTCAGGGCAGGCTAATCAGGAAGGGCCCTTAGGTATTGGGAAGGACTTTGGCTATGGCTTGGAGTGAGACTGGCACCTCTGGAGAGATGGTTTTCTACCCACAGAGGGGCATAATCTGATTTACAATAAGGAAGTTAAGCCCAGTGCTTTTAACTCCAGAAGCACGAGGGCTCCAAGATTAGCACAATCCTCTTTTCTCCCAAGCTGCCCAAGGGTTAAGTAAACGCAAACATGGGTAAATGCAGTGAAAGGAGATATTTCCTTCCCCTGGCTGACACACCTGATGCAGGAAGCAGACTCGTGCTCTCTGGGAATGAGAGGCCTGGCCGGACTTGTGCTTCCACAAGAAAATGAACATCGCCGGGATGCAGGATGGCTTAGCACTTCTCCTGTGAGTTTCTGAAAGCTACCGAACAGCCTAAGGCCCCATCTGTTTTCAATCTTGTTAAAAGGGCCTCATGTGCTGGCGCCTATTTAAAATAATGCACACATGGAGTTTTTAAAATGAAGAAGAAAAAAGCCCCGCGCTCTCCCCACCGGCACAGCTTATGTGTTTATTTTGGAGCAAGCTTTGGAGCAAGACACAGCTAATTTCTCTTCCCGAGGTTGATTTGCAAATCCCCATAGGCTTTTGCTCCAAGCATTTAAGGCAGCTTGGTATGAACTGGTCACCCTTTCAAAAGTCTGCTGTGAAATATCTCCAAGTTAAGCCTAGGCTCAGGAAAGGAGGGAGCCCAAGGGCCACTTTGCTCCTTGCAAATAGGTTGTTTCCCTGATCCCTTTTCCCTCAATAGAGACTCATGTTTCTAAAGGCTGAATTCCTCTTCTCAGATGCTCATTTTCTTCCACAGGGGCTACCGTGGTTCCACCCCAGCATGACTCAGATAGAGCTTCGCGCTAACCCAAACCTAATCTCCAAAACGGGGACTGCAAGGGACAGTGTCAGGGAAAAGAACCCACCTGTGGCAAATGCATTCCGCATCAAGAAGCAAAGGCAATGAGGTCTGTCTGTCCATATTCTGAGGAGCACAGAGGCCCTCTGCACTTCTGAGACAACAACATGCTCAACTCACAATGACATTCACATGTCCAGTGTCCACAAATAGCTGTAATGGATCATTTCCAACCCTGTAGGCTCAGAGAAAACATCCCGTAAACGTAGCATCACTTCCACAACCACATCAACAGCAGCTCCACACATCTCAGGGACTTCATAAACGACTCCCCCTAGACCCAGAGCAAGGGAAGTGCAAACAGGATACAAGCAAAACAGGATAAGTGTGTCCGGAATGGCCTCCCAGTGATTGCTCACGTCGCTTTCTGCATCTTCACACTTGAGTGGTAGCAATACCCAAGGGTGGTGATGACAATAATTATCCCAGCCAGTACATTAGTAGGAGAAGTAGTAGTTGGAGTCTTTGGAGAGGTAGAAACAAAAATGGTGATACTAGTAGTAATAGCACTAGATGTGGTAGCTGTATGAATACTATCCATAGTTCCAGTGACAATATAATAATTATTACATACTATATTTGTATTAGATTTAAAATCTATCATAGTTTTGTTTTTTGTTTTTGTTTTAGCACTTACTATGTGCCAGGCACTAGTCTAAGGGCTTTGCATGTAGTAATGAATCCTGACAGTAACCTGGTGAGACAGGCCTTATTATCCCCACTTTAGAAAGGGGCACCGAGGCATGATGAGATTAGTATGTTTTATGAGATCACATAGCAGGGAGGTGACAGACCAAGTATGCAAACACGAGTCTGAATCCAAGGTCCCTGCTTTTGACTGTTTCACTAGGCTCCTTCCAACATGCGGCAAAGTCCGAGACAATGGGAGCAGCAGGACGATAGAACCCCAGTGAGGGAATTACTTCTCGGAGGGGCACAGTGGCTCACCCCTATAATCCCAGCACTTTGAGAGGCTGAGGCGGGTGGATGACTTGAGGTCAAGAGTTCAAGACCAGCCTGGCCAACATGGTGAAACCCCATCTCTACTAAAAATACAAAAAATAGTAGGGTGTTGATATGGGTTGGCTGTGTTCCCACCCAAATCTCATCTAGAATTGTACTCCCACAAGTCCCAGTGGGAGATAATTGAATCATGGGGTTAGTTCCCCCATACTATTCTCATGGTAGTTGATAAGTTTCACGAGATCTGATTGTTTTATCAGGGGTTTCCGCTTTTGCATCTTCTGCATTCTGTCTTTGCTTGCTGTCATCCATGTGAGATGGGACTTGCTCCTCCTTGCCTTCCATCATGATTGTGAGGCTTCCCCAGCTACATGGAACTGTAAGTCCAATTAAACTTCTTTGTTCTGTAAATTGCCCAGTCTCGGGTATGTCTTTATCAGCAGTGTGAAAACGGACTAATACAGGTGTGGTGGTGCACGCCTGTAATCTCAGCTACTTGGGAGGCTGAGGCAGGAGAATCACTTGAACCCAGGAGGCAGAGGTTGCAGTGAGCCAAGATTGCGCCACTGTACTCCAGCCTGGGTGACAGAGTGAGACACTGTCTCAGAAAAAAAAAAGAATTACTTTTCAAGAGGCAGCCTAAGGAGAGGCCTCAGACACTTTTTTTTTTTCTCCTTGAGACTCGGTTGCTCAGGCTGGAGTGCAATGATGCGATCACGGCTCACTGCTGCCTCGACCTACTGCGCTCAAGCAATCCTCCCACCTCAGCCTCCCCAGCAGCTGGGACTACAGGCGTGTGCCACAATGCCTGGCTAATTTTTAAAATTTTTTTGTAAAGATCTCACTATGTTGTTGCCCAAGCTGGTCTCAGACTCCTGGGCTCAAGTGATCCTTTTGCCTTGGCCTTCCAAAGTGCTGGGATTACAGGCGTGAGCCACCATGCCCAACTTCAGATACTTTTTTTTGAGGCTCAAAGGGTTCAGGACCTTCCAGCTACGCATCAAACAGAGCAGTAATTTTAATTTTTTAATCTGCTTAAATATTGGGTTTTACATAAAATTTAATTGGAAACAAAACTGTTCTATTTTGAAAAACCGTTAGAAAGCAACAGTGTGCTGAGGCTTTGGAGTTAGACAGGTATCATAACTATGTCTTTCATTGTCTGTATTCTGATGCTTTGACCCCTGGGCCTTGCTGGCCCTGGAGGGAATGCCCTTCCTAGGTTAGCCAAGACTTGGAGATACCAAAGAGCTTGCCTGGAGCACGCCCTCTGAATGCAAACCAACCAACGCAGGCTCAACCTCCTCTATATATGGGGCTGTCACACTGCAGGGCACTGCCCATCTGCCCTGATCACCCCAGGGATAGGCACCAGGCAACTAGGGACAGCCCCTACTCTCCAAGGCCGGTTGAAATAATTCAAACTCACCAATCCTAAACCTGTTTCCCCTGCCTTGCTCACTCCTCCCCACAAATTCACAATAAAAGCTCTCGCCCACATCTCCCTATCATTCCCTCTGTCTACGAACAATCATGGTGCTCCCCTGTGCCCCCCGCCTGCATGTGGCATGGGGTGCTGTGCCTCCTCCTTCTAGGGGACTGTGAGTGTAAGAGCTCCTTCCTTCTTGACAGTCATGCATGTGACTGCGCGTCTTGCATGCTCAACTAAAACAAATCCTGGTTATGTTTAAGACAACAGGCTCTGACCAGCTTCCCCCATGCCCCTCAGGACTTTCGACAGGTGTCAGGCCTCTGCTGGGTTGCCGGGTACAAAGCCTGGGACACACTGACCAGTGTGGATCATGTCACAAACAGTGCTGAGCGTGGGGTCAGACGGACCTGGGTTTCAATTGCATTTCTAGAACTTCCTAGCTCTGGGATCTTGGGGAAATCACAGGCCCTTTTGCCTCAGTGGCTCTACCTGTAAAAATAGGGCATAAGGTCCTGACCCTGTCCCTATCCTGAGGCTGCTAACAGGAACTGCAGGAGAGAGTGAAGGTGAAGTTTCTCCAGAGTGAAGCCCACACCACCATAAACTGTCTTTAGGGTACCCAAGGGGCTCCTTGCACAAAGGTGTGTTTTTGAGTTGTTCGGTCTAGAAGGGGGTTTCTCAACCTTGGCGCTATTGACATTTTGAGCTATGTAACTCTTTGTTGCGGAAGACTGTTTTGTGTATTGTAGGAGGTTTAGCAACATACCTGGCCTCTGCCCACAGGTGTCAGGAGATCTCCCCTGTTGTGACAACCAAAAATGTCTCCAGGCATTGCCAAATGTCTCCTGTTGGGGGGATTGGGGCAAAAATCACCCCTGGTTGTTAGCTACTAATACAGAAGAGGAGACAGGTTAGGCTAAGCGTATCTTCCTCTTTCTAGCATCTCTCTCTCTCTCTCTCTCTCTTTCTCTCTACTCTTCCAAGGATGCCCAACAGTTCACAGAGTACCCAGGTACCTCTGTGGTAAAGTAGGGCTCTAAGGAGCATGGTTGGAAAATACTTGTTTCAGTAGACACTCTAGGCTAGAAAAAGTAGAGTTGTGTTGTCAGTGGGTTTTGGTTTCACCCCCATCATATATTTACCAACTGAGCTCATCTCATGATCCAACCACTTTATCCATAATTTACCATCCTGTTTAAGTAGCCTCGTAGCAACCCCACAGAATGTGAGAACTGCAAGTTCTTTTCAGGTCATCCAGTGGGTTTGGTCTTGCTGCCAGCTCTGGCTGCTGTGCAGAGAAAGATAATGAGGCCGCCCCTCAGCTGGGCTGGAAGGCATTGCCTTCATTGAACAGCGGAGGGCCGGGGGTTGCACATGCTCTGTATATTTCCCAGTTCCTCCTTTTACAAATGAGTCAACTTACATCCAAAGTTCCCTTAGTGTTAACTAAAACAGACCAAATTCTCAACGTGTGCTGGACATAGTAGCATTGCGGTTACTAGCTCCATTCTGTGAATAGAGAAACATTAGCTTGGAACCTTGAACCACTCCCTTGAAGTCCCCCAGGTAACAGGAGGCAAAGCCACGATTCAAGCCCTTGTCCATCTGATCCCGGGTACAGCTCTGTCCATCAAACCAAAGTGTCTCAAAATATGGCTTCTTCCTACTGAGGCAGCAAAAAAATGTTCCTCCACACAAATAAAATACTATAGAGGAGTCAGTGAGAAGGAGCCTGTTTACTTTTAGAATCTCTTTTTTTTTTTTTTTTTTTTTTTTTGAGACAGAGTCTCGTTCTGTCGCCAGGCTGGAGTGCAGTGGCGTGATCTTGGCTCACTGCAACCTTTACCTCCTGGGTTCAAGCAATTCTCCTGCCTCAGCCTCCTGAGTAGCTGGGTCTACAGGCGCCTGCCACCTCACCCGGCTAATTTTTGTATTTTTAATAGAGACGGGGTTTCACTATGTTGGCCAGGATGGTCTCGATCTCTTGACCTTGTGATCTGCCCACCTCGGCCTCCCAGAGTGCTGGGATTACAGGCGTGAGCCACTACGCCCAGCCTACTTTTAGAATCTTAATGTAATTTCCCATTAAATACATGCAGAGAACAGTTAAGGTAAGACTGAAAAGAAACCCAAAGCCACGCGGAAGCAGTATGATGGGGAGAGCAGATGATATCTCAGGAATGAGGCGGCGAGTTAGCTGTGGGAGTGAGGAGGACACAGTGTTTTATAGAGCATGGGCAGCTTGGGAGCCAGACGGAAGCCAGACAGACAGGAGTTCAAATCCTGGCTCTGCCAATTCTAAGCTGCGTTGCTGGGCCTCTCTGAACCTTAGTTTCTTTGTCTGTAATAGTAACAGGTAACTCACAAGATCACTGTAAGCAGAAAATTGGGTTATAGATAGTAAAGTCTTGGCAGAGTATCGGCATCTATCTATCTATCTATCTATCTATCTATCTATCTATCTATCTATCTATCTGTCTGTCTTACCTACCTACTTATCTACCTATCTCTCTCTATATATATATAAATATTTATCTATCAATATAGATAATAATGACTCTTAAACAATTTCTCTCTATATGGGTATAAATGTATATATATAGATTTGTATATGTATGTATATGTATATATACATTTATATAGAGAGAGGGATAAATGGCTTAAGATATTATTATTGTCTCTATTATTGACATTACAAAATACTTTTTTTTTTTTTTGAGACACAGTCTCACTCCATCACCCAGGCTGGACAGCAGTGATGCAATCTCGGCTCACTGCAATCTCTGCCTCTCGGGTTCAAGCCATTCTCGTGCCTCAGCCTCCGAGCAGCTAGGATTACAGGCATGTGCCACCATGCCTGGCTAATTTTTTTTTTTTTTTTTTTTTTTCAGTAGAGACAGGGTTTCACCATGTTGACCAGGCTGGTCTCAAACTCCTGGCCTCATGTGATCTGCCTACCTCAGCCTCCCAAAGTGCTGGGATTATAGGCATGAGCCACTGTGCCTGGCCCAAAATACTAAATTTAATGAAGGTGTTTAGGGGAAGGAAAACCTAGTTCTGAACTGATTAGAGACCGCAAAACAGAAGCCTGGAGAGTTAGGTTCTAGAGAGATGGAGAAAGCATAAGTATATGGATGGATGGATGGATGGATGACTGAACAAATGGTCAGATGCATAGATATTCATTATATAGAAATAACACTTTTGGACACCAACATGCAGAACTTGAGGGAAAGCCACCATAAACAAGAAACCTTATAAATTAATTATTTGCCTCCTCCAATGTCTCTCATGGGGACCACTAAGCAGAGAGAGGAAAAGAGAGGTGGTGAGAAAACGAGGCTGGTGCCAGGTTAGGAAGGGCCCTGGTGCTGCCTAAAGACTTTGGCCTTCATCCCATAGACATTGAGGAGCCTGCACCGTGGAGAGCTAAGGGAGCCAGTGAGAGACCAAAGCAATTGTACAAGAATAAGCAAATTAAGACGAGTAATCAAAATCTGGTTCTGTCCAATGAATGCAAAGTTTGGGGTTTCTGGCACTTGGCTGGCCCAGCAAGGGGAGGTTCAGGCCCCTCTGCTTTCCCTTGCTTTTCCTGGCAGCACTAGAGGGGGTGAGCCTTCCCGTCTCCTCCCTGTCTGGACAGAAGGCAGGCCCTGAGGTGGGCTGGGTGGGGAGGGCACCAGTTCAGTTCCATTTTAAACAGGCCAAGAACTCACCCATTAGCTCACGACATGAACCTCAGGGCTGTTGCTTAGGGAAGAAAGGAAGGTTCCAGCAACATGGCTTAAGAACTATCGCAAGGACAAAAAACCAAACACCGCATGTTCTCACTCATAGGTGGGAATTGAACAATGAGAACACATGGACACAGGAAGAGGAACATCACACACCGGGGCCTGTTGTGGGGTGGGGGGAGGGGGGAGGGATAGCATTAACATGTTAAATGACGAGTTAATGGGTGCAGCACACCAACATGGCACATGTATACATATGTAACTAACCTGCACGTTGTGCACATGTACCCTAAAACTTAAAGTATAATAAAAAAAAAAAAAAAAAAAGAAAGGTCAGAAAACCCAGAGAGGCTGTCTGTGGTCCCTGAGAACATGGATCTGAAAAATTGCTTTAGGCTGTAAGAAGCAGGTCATTTTTCAAGTCTGGCTGGGCAACAGGTGAGTCAGGGGAAAACAGGTAGACACAGGTTATGATCACAATTCTGCCACTAACTAAGCAATGACCTATTCAACTTTGCCAAGCCTCAATTTCCTCATCTGAATAATAATGAGCCTTACACCTCAGGAGTTGCTGAAGGACGAAATATGTTGAAAAGTTAAACGCATGAGGGCAATGAAAAGCACATCACTGAACTAATAGTTTATTTTCCTTCTTGACCATATACTCAGAACTCCACAAGTACAACCCTTGATGCCCCATGACAGAACTTAGCTCCATTTCCTGTCTGGTGCTGACCTTTTATTATTGCCAAGTTCTTCCCCTTAGGATGTCTAAAGTCAGACTTGGCAAGGAGGAGACAAAGGCAGATGGTAGTTTGACTCTACAGTAACCAGCAGCATGACCCAAGCAAGAAACTGCACCTCGATCAGTCCCCATTCAACAGATGAGATAGAAAGGTGGTCAATGCAGGGGTCAGTGGTATGGGCTCTGGAGCATCTGGGTCCACATCTCAGCTCTGCCATCTCCTAGCTGTGTCGCCTCGGGCAGGACACTTAACCTCTCTGAGTCTCAGTTCCATCAGTACTCTGTGGGGTGGTGATGAAAATTAAATGTATACAGATAAACTGCTTAGAGGATGGCTTGCACATTGTGTAAATGTTAATGTCAAATCTTGCTTTACCTGCACTGTACTATATCAATGATTTATCTGCATGATTCCTGCAGGGCTAATGCTTTGTTTGTGTTGTTTACCATGCCAAAGGCTCTTTGGGTTCTTGCAGTAGCCTAAAGCTTTTCTCTTTAGCTTCTTTCATCTTTCCCCACTCTGGATAAGTTTGAGAAATATATATTGAACACAGATTAGGTATCTGGGTCCTTGGAGCACCTATTATGTACCGAATAAGTGTCCTGCCAGCCTCCCCACCACAGTCTACCATAGCACTGTGTACCCTACTTTCACGGCTTCTAACAGTTTGTAATTATGGTGCGTACGTGTGTGTGTGTGTGTGTGTGTGTGTGTGTGTGCATGCTTGTGTGTGTGCGTAAGAGAGAGAGAGACAGATAGATAATATGATTAATTTCTGGCCCCTGCCATTAGATGTTAAGTTCCATCAGGTAGAGATTCCATCTGGCTTTTTCGTTGTTGTTGTTGTTGTTGTTTTATGATGGAGTCTCGCTCTTTCGCCCAGGCTGAAGTGAGTGGCACGATCTCGGCTCACTGCAAGCTCCGCCTCCCGGGTTCGCGCCATTCTCCTGCCTCAGCCTCCCGAGTAGCTGGGACTACAGGCGCCCGCCACCACACCCGGCTAATTTTTTGTATTTTTAGTAGAGACGGGGTTTCGCTGTGTTAGCCAAGGTGGTCTCGATCTCCTGACCTTGTGATCTGCCCGCCTTGGCCTCCCAAAGTGCTGGGATTACAGGCACGGGCCACCGCGCCCGGCCAGATTCCATCTGTTTTTAATCACCATTGTAACCTGAGCACGCAGCACATAGGCAGTCAATGAATATTTGTGGAATGAATAAAGATACTGTCCCTGTTCCCAATGAGCCCAGAGTCTACAGGGAGCGAGGGGCAGGTGAATTAGTAATCTCAAAGTCATCTGGGAAGTGTGATGTAGACACAGGTATGAGGTGCTAGGGGAGTACAGGGAAGAGGCACCTCACCCTGCCTGGATGGAGGGGGAGGGCAGAGGAAGCAGCACAGACATCATGTTGGAGCTAATGTTGAAGAATCTATGGCAAAATCTAAGAAAGGATGTCCCAGGAGGAGAGACGTGCATAAGCAAAGGCATGGAGATGTGACTCCAAGATGGTATTACCATGGGTGGGCACTGGGGAACCACAGCAGTTTGGTGAGACCGAAGTCTAAGGTAGAGCACGGGAGGAGATGAGCAAGGAAAGGCAGGCAGGGGCAAGCTCATGGAGGGCCTTGTGTGCAGAGCTTGAGACCCCCAAAACAAGTCTAATGCACAGGTCAGCCCTTTATGCATGAGAGGAAAGTGACCAAGCCTTCCCTGGATTTTACTGCTTCAGGATACACCTTCCCAGATGAGCCAGCATAAAGATTAAGAACCATAAACAGGCAGGGCATGGTGGCTCACACCTGTAATGTCAGCACTTTGGGAGGCCAAGCTGTGGGGACCACTTGAGCACAGGAGTTTGAGACCAGTCTGGGCAATACAGTGAGACCCTGTCTCTACAAAATATTTTAAAAATTAGCCAGGTGTTGTGGTGCGCACCTGTCATCGCGGCTACCCAGGAGGCTGAGGTGAGAGGATGGCTTGAGCCCAGGAGGTTGAGGCTGCAGTGAGCCATGACTACACCACTGCACTCCAGCCTGTGTGACAGAGTGAAACCTGTCTCAAAAAATAATAAAATAAAATAAAAAGAACCATAAACACAGATTCTTCAGTTAAACTGACTCTGAATTCCAGTTCTGCCACTTGTATGCTGTGTGGCCTTGGGTAAGCCTCAGGTTCCTCATCTGGAGAATGGGGGAACTCATAGTACCTGTTCATCAGAGTCATGATGAGGATGAAACACGCTAATCCATATGAAATGCTTAGCGTGTGCCTGACACTTAGTAAGCATGTGATTAGATACTGCCTATGATCATTAATTCCTTCAGAGCCCAGGCTGTACAGCTGCCATCTGCCTCAGGCACCGCCAGTGGAAACTCTCTCAGGTCACCCTCTAAAACTCCCTGAGATGAGGGGGCCAAGACTGGACCAAAACGGGTCCAGTTTAGGTTGAATTCTATTGTAAAGTAAATAGTGCCTTAGAACTACTAAAATCCTATGTGATACTAAAGATAGACATTGTAGGGCACATAAACTCGTTCTCTGCTATCAGCCTCCCAGCTCCTTCCTGAGGGACTAGAAAATGCGCCCAGACTGTGTATGATCCAAAGGAAGTCATTTCAATGCCTAAGTCCTGTTGATATGTCAGCTCACTCCCCTCCTCAGGAGACTCTGCTTAGAGTGGGCTGGGAGATTCCTTAGACAATCTAATAGATTAGTTTCCAGTTTAGCATAACAGCCAGACAGATTTTTGCAGTGAAGTCATCCAAGTCAATTAAAAGGCATTTTTCCCTGCTGTGAGTTCAGAAGTCCCTTTGGTTCATTCCAGTTTTCTGGGATGTTTCATAATAGGTTCCACCCTAGGTTAATTAATAACCCTTGATTCCCACTGAAATGCAAAGGCTCAAATCCACTGTGTAAGCACATCCGGGCAGAGGCTGCTGGCAGGGCTGGGGTGAGCCCAGTGGGGGCTCCTCTCATCAGGGAGTGGGCC
Organism: Homo sapiens; assembly: GCF_000001405.40. Taxonomy (NCBI): domain Eukaryota; kingdom Metazoa; phylum Chordata; class Mammalia; order Primates; family Hominidae; genus Homo; species Homo sapiens. Next base: position 32,967,845 of record NC_000022.11, read on the forward strand.
AGACCCCAAATGGTACAGACAACAGCAGAGCTGGCAGAAAATGTAGAGTAGCCACACAAAAGCTGAAGGCCACGCTGGAGAAGTGGTGTAACCAGGGGCAGTAGCGCATGGGGAGGGAGATCATCAACAGATGAAGGAATCACAAGGCTGGGGATTAGGCAGATTGGGAGCAAGTTGACATGTGCAGTGTGAAACGGCTTAGTCCAAGTGGCTGGACTAAGGTGGTGAACAAGAGGAGGTTGGCAATGGCTCGCTTTCAAGAAATGCCAGCTGAAACACATCATGTGGGTCTGACTCCATCCTCTCAGTCTTAAGAAAAATAGGTCATCTCTTCTCCTCCAGTTTCAAATACGAATTACAGGTATGAGAATGGCTCAAGTGGTTAAGGAACACAGTGGCGAGGATGTACATGCATTCACTTAACACTTATGAAGTCCCTTCCATGTGCCTCCTACCCAAGCATCATATTCAAGGATGAGATGACTTTTGCACCAAATCCAGAGCTGAGCTTTTCTGCCTCCAGTCTCAAGCCACCATTCCTATCCAGCGAATCTTCTAAGACCACTGTCAGCCTGTGCATTCTAAAATGAAATCACGGTCACAGCACTCCATGGCTTAAAAAGTTCAATACATACATCCTGCCTCTAGGACACAATTCTTAGTTGCATGCCTTGCACTAATAGCCCACCCTGAATAGACTGCCCTCCACCTTCTTTGTCAGCTTCGTCTCCCACCAACCCTTCTCATGCATGGCATACCCTGGTCATTTGCCCTGTACGTGACAAGCTGAGACTTGAATCATGCTCTTTAGCTAGAAGGCCCAATGTGCACATCTGCCCACTCACCCTCACCTAATTCTTGTCCCCAAACCCAGCTGCACATCAGGTTCTCTGTGAGGTCTTTCCTGAGAACATCCCAAGGTTAGACAAATCTCTACGATAGAGAGATCCTCGTCGCAACACATTTTGGCCACTGCCTTCAATGTCTATCTTCCCACCAGATAAAGAACCCTTTGAGTGTGGAGGGCTCTGTCATTAGGACAAAGTACAGAGCAGGTGCTCGGTGAGTGCTTCTTGAATGAAGGAACAGGTTCAGATAAGACAAGCTCTGTTTGTTTTGTTACACATCCTTCAAGAAGTGAAAGGGCTTACTAAGTTCTCCTTCAGAATGTCCACTTAATTTCCACTGGAGTCTCATTTATCAATGGTACTAACAGGGGGCCGTGCTGATGCTGATGAAGTGGTGTGGCAGTAAGGAAAGGTGAATTTCCAAACACAGCAGCTAAAGGCCAAGGAACTGAGCTGGGTTTCCCAGTGCAAGAGGATGGACTCCCTTTGACTCCCATGCCTCCTTCCTTCTCATCTCCAGTGCAGGTGCTGAATGGTGCCACCAAACCAGGATGCTGTACTCTCCTCCAGCAGAAAAGAAGAGGAGAGTCTAAAGGGTCATGCAACGGGCAACACAGTCCATGTTGTGTTCAGAATCAGCGGGGCTCATTCAACCTTGGTTTCAGCATTCCCCAGCCCTCGCTGCTTGGAGCTCTCCTTTGGCTATCAGCTATGGTTCAGCACTCTATCCTAGGCTCCTCCCAAGAAGAAGGCTTCTCACAGGTAAACGTGAAAAACATAAACTTCATTTGTTTTTGCTATTTTTTTGCTTGCTATTAAAACCATCAGAAGGGACTAATGGCTTCTTAAAAGGGAAAAACAAAAGATGGCATGGGCAGGGGGAGAAATGCAGTGTGAAAAGCAGGGACCCAGGAGATGAAAGCTAGTGCTCTCCACACTTTGGACTCCAACAATAATTTCACGTGTGTGCTAAGTCACTTCCCCTCTCTGAACCTTTCAGCTGTTAAACAAGGGAGCAGGATTAGATAATCTCCTAGGACACTCCCTGGCTCTATCCTTCCATGACTATGTCACACCTTCAACTCACTCACGCATTCACTCAACAAACATTCATTGCATTTTTTCTTCAGGTCCAGAGTCTGTGCTATCTACTATCAAAGAGACGTTAGAAATGGATGACAGGTGCCAACTGAATGTTGTATATCAATGGGAACTATGATTGAACATATGTGTAAATAATCAAAACACACACACAAACATAAGCTTTTTATATTTTTTATCCCACAAACTGCACTGCAAACTTCTTCAGTGCATGGATTATATCCTTTCTATTTCTGAATGCTTCAAGAGACTGAAGCCTAGAAACTACTCAGACAAATGTGTTTAGTGACGTGAAGCTGATCATAAAAATAGTTCTAATATTTATTAAGCACTTTCTATATGCTAGGCTCTGCTTCAAGTGCTTCATGCAGTCTTATAGTAACTTATTTCAGTCTCACAACTATATGCGCACTTACTATTTTATATGAGGAAACTGAGGCATGGGGCAGTTAAATTACCACCTCAAGGTTACTCAGGAAGTGGTGGGGCCGGGATTCAAACCTAGTTGATCTGGCTTGAGAGTCCAAGCTATTATACTATCCAGACAGTCTAAAGACATAGAGCTTAGCTGGGCGTGTTGGCTCACACCTGTAATCCCGACACTTTGTGAGGCCAAGGTGGGAGGATCACTTGAGCCCAGGAATTCAAGACCAGCCTGGGCAACATAGCAAGACCCCGTCTCTATTTGGAAAAAAAAAAAAAAAGATATCACGCCACTGCACTCCAGCCTGGGCAACAGAGCGAGACTCCATCTCAAAAAAAAAAAGAAAAAAAAAGGTAAAGACGGAGAGCTACGTTTAAAGACAATAATGAACATCAGCCCTTGGGGGAAAACAATGAAAAAATATAGAATTGTTAACAGAGAAACTATGCAGGAATAAGCCAGAAACATGAAATGATGAATAATAACCATTGGGGTTAGTCAGGAAAAGAGGACTGTTTTGCTGGGAAAACACCTCATATGAATTTGTAATTTACCCAGTAGATCAAAAGAGTAGGGTGAGATAGGAAGATACTGTGGGATACGTACTCAAGCTGGAAGGGGAAAGGCAAAAAGCTTTGTAAAGACAAATTCATGACCAGCATATATTCTGATAAATGTACTTTGATTAAGAACTAAGACCTTGGAGTTAGCCAGACCTGGGTTCAAATCCCATCTTCACTGCATTCTTACTAGCTGTGTCACATGCCTGGGCAATTTATTTAAGCTCTCTGGGTCCCAGTTTCCTCAGCAACAGGCATACTGTGTGGATTGAATGAGTTACTGCATGGAAAACACTTAATGCGGCACCTAGCAAATAGTAAATGTTCAATAAACTTTGCTTCTATCATCAATGTTATTGTTTCTCCATTTTCTGTAGAGTTCTTAAGTTGATGAGCCTAAAGGTAGACCCAGGAAGCTGATAAACCTACATTAATCAATGCCATGGTTAGGAAGGGAAACACTCACTTCTCTAATGAGTTATGTTTCAGCTAATGGGCCCTAGTATTCCACCTGCTTTTTTTATCCCCCCAGCTGGTTCTTAGATTTGAAAAGAAAAAGGCCTCCATGGAGACCTGCACGCTTTTAAAAATAATACAAAACAGAACATCTGAGGTCAGGGTAAGCCAAGCCAAACAAATAAATCTTGCAGGATTGTGTTAACAAAACAAGGCTTAGTGGATCAGAGCGGGTAGAGTTCTGTCCGACTCAGTCCTGCAGAGAAACACCAAGCTCTGGTGAATTTCAAACACAAGGAGGTCAAATAGGAAGATCAAATTATGGAGCACTTCAGAGTTCAGCATCCATGCCTGGGCTGTAACCAGGAAAGCATTCTGTGCAGGATGGACTCCAGAACTCACGGGTCACGTACAGTCCTAGAAATCGAGACCAGAAGAGTCTTACGGATGAATTCTATGTGACCTCTATGGAAAGTAATTTTGCAATATCTATCAAAATTATAAATGTGTTCTCTTAGGTTGGGTTCTCTGGAAAGCAGACCCTGGGATGGATATTAGCCTGGGGGGAGGTTTATTAGTGAATTCCCTGGGAGCTCCATCACTGGAAGGGGGAAGAAAAGAAAGGAAGCAGGACTGTGAGAATTTGGGCCACACAGCCGTCTCAGCAGAGGTCTCCGGCAACTCTGCAAGAAGCTCTGAAGCCGGACAGCCCTTCAGAGTTATCCCAAACTGGGGTGATGGGGACAGGGATTTATTATAGCCTCTGACGGCCAGTCATTGGATGTAACTGCCACCAGGAAGGAGATGTGACCTTGGAAGAGGCAGCTCTCCTCATCTGAGGCACTTTCAAGGAGGAATGACAGAGGAATGAAGAAAAGTCCTTCATTCCTCAATGTGCATTACAGCATCCACCACCTGCAATGCTTTTGGAACAAGTTATCCTATTTCTAGAAGTGAATCCTACAGATCGATTAATAAATGTTTGAAATGACATAAGTTTAGCATTGTCTATAATAGTAAAATTATGGAAAACAAATTATGGTGTATCCATATGACAGACCCCAGGCCATCCTTAACAAGAATGAGGCAGGTCTGCATATACTCTCATGGAATAAACTCCAAGAAATATTAAGTGAAAAATGAGGGTGCAGTGGAGTATGGATAAGGAGAAAGGCATGTGTAGATGCCAAGTAGCCAAAGGGGTGGACTGTGCCAGTCACTGTCTATTGCCACTCATCCTTCTATAGTCTCTCCTGCACTATGGGAGCTGAAAGCCTAAAATCTGCATTCCCCAGATCCTTTTGCCACATAATTTCAGCTCATTTCTACCAATGGGAGGCATTCATGCAGGAATTGAAGGTAGAAAGAAGGCAGCAACAATTCTGCTTCTAGTGGTAGTTACAGAAGCTTCACCAACAACTATAGCAGTTTGAACAAGTGGTGGCAATTCCTGTAGCCTCAGTGGAAGCACAGGTCTGGCTAAGTGCAGTAGCCCACACCTGTAATCCCAGCACTTTGGGAGGCCCAGGCAGGAGGATTGCTTGAGCCCAGGAGTTCATGACCAGCCTAGGCAACATCGCGATGCCTTATCACTACAAAAACTAAACAAAGAAGAAAAAAAAAAAGCTGGGCATGGATGGTGGTGCACACCTGTGGTCCAAGCTACTTGGGAGGCTGGAGTGGGAGGATCACTTGAGCCCAGGAGTTTGAGGCTACAGTGAACCATGATTACACCATTGCACTACAGCCTGGGTGAAAGAGGGGGACCCTGTCTCAAAAACTAAACAAAACAAAACAACAGCAACAACAAAAAAGAGCCCAGGCTCCTCATTCCTCAGTGACAATAGTGACAGTGACAAACAGTGAATGTAGGACTGTTGTGCCTCTGGGTAAAATGATTTCCCCTTTTGATCCATTTGTAATCAATCCTCCTTGTTAAATTCCCTCTGAAATACATAGCATGGTTGATGTTTTTCTAACCAACCACCCTCTGTGAAAAGCATATATATGTATTTGCTCATTGCATTTAAAACTTCTCTGGAAAGGTGCCCAAGAAACTAGTGATAATAGTTAAGTACATGGAAGAGAACTAGATTGGTGCGGGCAGAGTGGGAGGCAGACTTTTCACCACATACCACTGTGTAGCTTTTCAATTTTTAACTATTTGAATATACTACTTTTACCCCCGCCAAAAAAGAAAAAGATTAATAAAGGTTATCTCCTATAAGCACATTAATTTCCTGTGAAATATTCCCCAAGGTAGCCACCCAGTTTCTGCCACAGCATTTCCAGCACAGGAGGCGCCCTACCTACAAAAAAGGCATGGCCCATTCCTTATTAGTTCAGCACTACTTAACAGTTTCTGTGTAGACCAAGTTGAAATCCATCTTCCTGTAGGATTGCACCAATAGACTGAACTCGAACTCCAGTGAAACAATAGAGGGTGATACTTAGCACAGAAACCTGGGTTCAGATTCCTCCTCTATCACCCATTTCTGCTGCTTGTTTAACATCTCTGAGCCCCAGCTTCTTCATCTGCTAAAAGGGACAAAGTACCCATCTTTTGTTAGTTTGTTTGTTTCAGACAGAGTTTTGCTCTTGTCGCACCCAGGCTGGACGATCTTCGCCCACTGCAACCTCTGCCTCCTGGGTTCAAGCGATTCTCCTGCCTCAGCCTCCCAAATAGCTGGGATTACAGGCATGCATCACCACGCCTGGCTGATTTTTGTATTTTTAGTAGAAACAGGGTTTCGCCATGTTGGCTAGGCTGGTCTTGAATTTCTGACCTCAGGTGATTTGCCTGCCTCAGCCTCCCAAAGTGCTGGGATTACAGGCATGAGCCACTGCACCCAACTCAAAGTACCCATCTTAAAGAGGCATTGTGAGGTTGAAATAAGATTATGCATGTCAAGTGCTTTAATCAATACTTTTGCTTATTGTTCTTGATATTTACAACACTGGAAGAAAAAAATATACAGTGGATAAGAAGAGGACCCTGAAGTCAGACTGGCTAGGTTCAAAAACAGACCCATGCCACTTATTAGTTGGGCAACCTTGGGCAAGACACTTACTCTCTGTGAGTCTCAGTTTCTGAAAGATGGAGGTGATAACAGTGCCTACTTCACCCATAAAATGCATTCAGCTTTATCTCATAAGGACTCAACAAATGGTAACTTACTTTATCAACCATACTTGTTCAAGAGGTAGATATTTGTAAAGAGTAGACTGGGACCTATCAGAGACCTTTCTTCCTCCGGACTAAACATCTCCAGTTCCTTAAACGAATCCTCTTTCCTTATTGGCCTTAGTTTCCCTTACTCCAATCCCTTTTCAGAAGGCATTCCAGGTTGCTGCAACCCCCTTCCAGAGCAACACACAACTGGATCTCTTATTAGAGTGTCTCACTAGCATTGTGTGTGTGTGTGTGTGCATGTAAGAGGGAGTGTATGAACTATCACCTTCCTGCATTCTAACTGCTGTGGTTTGATAGTGCAGCCTGAAGTGACATCAGGTTTTAGGGGAGTAGCAATCTCAACTGTAGTTTATTGAGCACCTAATACATGTGCCGGAAACAAATGTTCAGCATATTACATTAACTCATTTTGTCACACAATAACTCTAGGGAATAAAATTTATTTCATCATTTTCAGGTGAGGAAATTGATTTAGAGATGTTTTAGGTAAAAAGCAAACACAGCTAAAATATGACTGAGCTGAGATTTCATCTTCAGTCTATCTTACTCTGGAGCCACGATCTTAACCCCTACACCGCATTTCCTCCCACACATATTAAGCTGTGCTCAACTCAAATGTTAGGTCTTTTTCGTTTTTCTCATGTGATGTTAACAAGATAGGTCTCCCCAGCTGGGTGCGGTGGCTCATGCCTGTAATCCCATCACTTTGGGAGGCTCAGGCGGGTGGATCATGAGGTCAGGAGATTGAGACCATCCTGGCCAACATGGTGAAACCCTGTCTTTACTAAAAGTACAAAAATTAGCTGGGCCTGGTGGCAGGTGCCTGTAATCTCAGCTGCTCAGGAGGCTGAGGCACGAGAATCACTTGAACCCAGGAGGCAGAGGTGGCAGTGAGCGGAGATCTCACCATTGCACTCCAGCCCAGCGACAGAGTGAGACTCCGCCTCAAAAAAAAAAAAAAAAAGTCTCCTTAATCCTGCTCCTTCACAGCTGAGTTTTTGAACTCAGCCCATCAGCTTAAGGTCGTCAGTCATCATTTTTTAGTTTTTGCAGAGACAGAGTCTCACAATGTTGCCCAGGCTGGTCATGAACTCCTGGGCTCAAGCAGTCCTGCCTGGGCCTCCCAAAGTGCTGGGATTACAGGCGTGAGCTACTGCAACCAGCCGAACCTGCACTCTCCCTCTCACTGAGGCTGCAGGAATTGCCACCACCGACTCGACTTTATATTGTATTCCTATTCAATTTGATCACATCAAATTTAATCTGGCGTATTCTCTCTCCCATCTAGTTTAAAGTCATTAGCAAATGTAATTTCATAAGTCACTAGTAAGAAGGAAAACAAAGCCAAGGACAAGCCTTTTGGCAAGCCATTAGATTTCTCCCAAGGTGTATTTATTTCTATCAAGTAATCATTTCCTAATGAGGATGATGTTCAACCTGTTACCAAACCACCAAACTGAATTAACATCCAACTTACACTTCTCTATCTTGTTGACAACTGTTTCTTGAAATATCACCTGGTCTTTATGGTCAATATCTACAGCTAAGGTCCATTCTAAGAAATGTCCCAGAAAGAATTGTGGGTTGAAGGCTGAAGTGCATGTGAGAAAATATAAATACGGGGTCTGAAGTGTTTAAAATATTTTAAGGGGAATATCTCATCTTTCCATTCAGAAGACATTGATGTTAAATACATAAAGGGCAGAAGATGAACAGGTCTCCCAACAGCAGCCTCCCCTGGACAGTTTCCTAACCCCATCCCAACCCAATATTACACAAGGACAGTACTCAAAGGAGCAACTAGTATTCATATGTAAATCCATGGGTCGTTCTGGCTTCCTTCATTGGATTGGGAGTTGCTCAAGGGCAGGGTTTATACCTTCTCTTGCCTTTTGCTCCACCTGCTAGAGCAAGGCATTAGTGTTCTTTCTGCCTTGGTACCTCTGTCAACACGGAGGAAAGACTGGCCGTGGTGATTTCAGTCTTCTCTTTTAAAAATTAGAGACTGAGGCTCTACCCTAGCAAGTCCTAGTCCACTGATGTCCCAGAACTGTGAGTCTACTTAATATTAATCCATTCATCAACCTCACTGCTTGGTCCCACAGAGGGGTGACTTGTGCCTGTGGAGAAAAAGACCCTTTGCCTCAAATATAAACAGAGGAGAGTTTGACATGCCAACCATCCTGGCCTGATCCTCTCAGACCCTACTAGGATACTGCTGTGAGGGCCCCGCAGAGCCAGTAGGGCATTCTGGGTAATAGAATGCAAAATGTGCTGTCTCCTCCACGGGCCTCCCCAGGGTTTCTTGATTCCTGGCTCTGTAAAAGTTGAGGCAAGCAGTTTTTAGACTGGGGGGAAGAGGATGGAGAGAAGGGGCGGAGGCTTCCTCTAGGCCAACCACAACTAACTCATTCGCTCTGTCCAGCAAAACCCAGACAGTGCAATTATCTGGTTAATTTGGCCCTTGGTTGGGAGACAGGATCCCAAAATGTGAGGCCAGCTCAGACTAAACAGTGGCTTCCGTCCTGAGACTTTTCCCAAGTGCTAAAGGATGCATGTGAGATTCCTGGGGGGGGGGTTGCTTGTGTGTTCCACCCATTGATACAGATGGGCAAAGACAAGTGATTCTGATTCCAAGATGGATTTGGAAAGGTATGTCTACTGGGGAAAAATGCCCAAATGACCTGCTAATTGGTTTCCTGGCTAATTCACCTTCTGGCTTTCATAGAGGGGCAGGTTGGAAATCAGAATGACTCTAAATTAGCCAAGGTTTCTCAGTGTGATTGTAGACTTCATAGACTGGCTGACGGGCCCCAGAGCCCCTGGGTGAGTTATTCTTAGGGCAATTCCCTGATGGTCCTGCTCATAGATTTTGTACTGACAAGTTGGGCCAATGGCATTGCTAAGATAAAAGGGGAAAATTAAAACATGCCCCTGGGATTTCCACACATGGGATGAGGCAGGGTGAGCTCAGCTGGCAACCAAGTATCTACCAGATGGTTTATGGAAAACCCAGATTTTTGAGGGGAGATTAAGAAGTGGTAGCCATGTGTGGTGGCCTGTAATCCCAGCACGTTGGGAGGCCGAGGCGGGTGGATCACGAGGTCAAGAGATCGAGACCATCCTGGACAACATGGTGAAACCCCATCTCTACTAAAAATACAAAAATTATCTGGGTGTGGTGGCAGGTGCTTGTAGTCCCAGCTACTTGGGAGGCTGAGGCAGGAGAATTGCTTGAACCCGGGAGGCAGAGGTTGCAGTGAGCCGAGATTGCGCCACTGCACTCCAGCCTGGCGACAGGGTGAGACTGTCTCCAAAAAAAAAAAAAAAAAGAAGCGGTGACTTATCGCCCCTGGAAACTGACAAGCAGCCTGGAATCTGTAGAATCTATCAGTTATTCATCCTGCAAATATTTCCTTCAGTTCTCTTTTGTGCCAGGCCCAGTGCTACTTAGGGTAAGATCCAGACAGTCATAGTCTCCACCCTCATGCAAATCGTCCCACTCAAAATGTGTGGCTAGAAACTCAGATAAGGGCCAGGAAGAAAAAGTTGAGGAGCTATGAAAGGGAATAACCAGGTTACCTGATTTAAATCTGGAAAGACTCAGAGAAGGAGTCTTTGAGGAAAGGATTGTAAAGCTAACACTTCAAAGAACCTAATTTGCTTTTTGAGGAAGATCACTCTAGCGTTGGGATGAAGAATACATTGGAGATGGGTGGAAAACATGAAGTTGTGAGGCTGTTGATGAGGAAGACTGGACGAGAGTTGAGGGTGGTCCAGCCAAGGATCTAGGTGATGGGGATGAAGGGAGAAGTGGAGGGACCAGGAAATATCAGATGCGGAGTCAGCAGGGTCCAGTCATTGAATGGGTGCAGTGGTACAGGGAGAGGGGCACATCCGGGAGCCAGAGCAGGTTTCTGGCTAAGGTGGAAGGTAGATGGCCACACTCTTCATTGAGAGAGAGAATTAGGGAGGAGTAGGGTGGGCGCAGGGGAAGATGATGTGTCCTATTTTGGAGAACCACACCGCATTCCCTGTCACTCCATACCCTGTACTTCTGGTCTCCTTATCTTTGCTCACACTGCCTCCTCCATTCACACGCTCTTCACGCCACCATCTCCACTTGTTGACATCCTATCCATTCTTTGATCTATTTCAAACACCACTCCCTCCTCGAGGCCACACCTGAGTCTTTCAGTTGACTGTGACCTCTGCTGCCAGGAGTGCTAAGTTTGGACCTCTCATCCCTGGCTTCTACCTGTAAGTTCAAATCCCAGCTTCACTGCATTCTTACTAGCTGTGTGACCTGCCTGGGCAATTTATTAAGCTCTCTGAGCCCAAGTTTCCTCAGCAACAGGCATACTGTGTGGATTGAATGAGTGACTGCATGGAAAACACTTAATATGGCATCTAGCAAATAGTAAATGTTCAATAAAAGTGTGCTACCATCATCAATGTTATTGTTCTGTAGGCCAGGTGTGGTGGCTCACGCCTGTAATCCCAGAACTTTAGGAGACCAAGGCAGGTAGATCATTTGAGGTCAAGAGTTTGAGACTAGCCTGACCAACATGGTGAAATTCCATCTGTACTAAAAATAGAAAAAAAATAAAAAATAAAAAAATTAGCCGGGCATGGTGGCACATGCCTGTAGTCCCAGCTACTCAGGAGGCTGAGGCAGAAGAATCACTTGAACTCGGGAGACAGAGGTTGCAGTTCACTCCATTGCACTCCAGCCTGGGCAAGAGAGTGAGACTCCATCTCAAAAAAAAAAAAAAAAGAAAGAAAGAAAAAGAAAAGAAAAGACTTAGCTCACCTCTCCTCCTAGACCACAGGCATTTGGAGACTGGGCCTCTTCTTCTATATACTCGTTCTCCACATATTAGCTAGCTAGCATAGTAGACTCTTGACAAATATTTGCAAAATGAACAAAAATAACCTGTTCTCTGCCATGGAAGGAAAACCAGTAGACATTGGGTTGACTTGAAAGCCACAGAATCAAATTGAAATTCAAAGTGTAGGTGTTTTAATATTAAGCCAACTTAGTTTGCTTAGAAGACCTTTCTGTTTCTCTGACACGGTAAGCTCAAAAAGTGCAGGGAGAAGAACAGTCATGCCCCCCATTTTAAAAATTGTATTTTGAAATCATTTTTACAGCAAGGACCTTGTCTATGTTATTTACTGTTTGCCTTTGATGATGAGGAGGAGGAGGAGTAGGAAGAGGATAAAGAATAATGATGCTGATGATAAATGGGTAACATTTACTAAGTGCCCAGTATGTGCCAGGTACTGTTCAAGCACTTTTCATGGACTAACTCGTTTGATCCTCACAGCACCCTATGAACACAGGCTGATGCTATTATTGCCCCAGTTGGACAGATGAAGAAATTGAACTGGAGGGAGTGTAAGTATTGCTCAACCAAGGTCACAAGGTTAGTAAGGGGCGGTGTTAGGATTCAAACCTGGAGTATGGCTCCAGAACCTATGCTCAAATGTGCTCTCCTAAGGCTGAGCACAGTGTTTGGCAGAGAGGAGGTCCTCGCGGAACGAACAGGAGAAAGCTTTGATCTGGAGCCAGGAGACCACACCTTCCACTCCTGATTCTGCCACTGCCTCCCTACACAGCCCTAAAAAAATCTGTGTTTCTTTCCACATAAAATGAGGGACCTGGATATTGATATTAATAGCAATAGCAAGAGATAGTATTTGCAATTCTGGTCCCTTCTGAGGTTTTAAATAATTTAATCCCCACAATGATATAAGGAAATCAAGGCAGAGAGAGATTAAGTCACCTACCCAAAACCTAGAAAATGAGAGAGGCAGGATTCAAGGCCCTTCATTATGTTCCTAAACTATGCTCTCTAGCCCAGGTGGCTGCAAGGAGATGCCCCAGGGGCCAAAAGGAACGGTATAGAACAGACAGAAGTTGGGCTCCACCTGCCCATTTCCATCAGAGCAGCTCTACGTGTCTCTCTTTTGTAGAATGAGTTCCTATTTGACATTTCCCTTGAAGAAAGGGTCTCTGCTAAAACATAAAAGGTTGGAAACCACTGGCCCAAACAATTCTGAAATTTAATGAGACTCCCAAGTATAAGCTTGGACTTTTCTGGTAATCTTGGCTCATTATGACCACATAAGATGGGGACCAAGATTGCATGTAAGAACAGCCCCAGCGGCAGAAAAGGTCAGTTGACAGTGCTAAAGACACAGCTCCCACCTACCTGCTCCACTCGGATCTCAATCTCTCCATTCACCTTCTTCCCATGGAAATACTTCGACCTGTAAAGGGGAAGAAATCAGCTGAGTAAGGATGCAGGCTGTTTTACTCTTTTCTCCCTTCTCCCAAAGGCCTTACCCCAGAGGTGCATATTGAGACACATCCTCAGCCATCCTACTGTCTCCTCCCACCTTCACTACTGATTTTCTCAGTCTTTTTTTTTTTTCTTTTGAGACGGAGTTTCACTCTTGTTGCCTAGGCTAGAGTGCAATGGCCTAGTCTCGGCTCACTACAACCTCTGCCTCCCAGGTTCAAGCGATTCTCCTGCCTCAGCCTCCCGAGTAGCTGGGATTACAGGTGCCTGCCATCACATCCGGCTATTTTTTTTATTTTTAGTAGAGATGAGGTTTCACCATGTCGGTCAGGCTGGTATCAAACTCCTGACCTCAGGCAATCCACCCACCTCGCCCTCCCAAAGTGCTGGGATTACAGGCGTGAGCCACCGCGCCTGGCCGATTTTCTCATTCTTTATAGGTGGTGTGTGGTAGAGGGGAGATGGTGGATAAGATTGGAGGCTCAAGTTCTAGTTCTGTCACGTCACTTGACCTCTCTGCATCTCAGTTTTAGCATCTGTAAAATAATGATATTAATAATTTTGCTACAGGCCGGGCGCTGTGGCTCACGCCTGTAATCCCAGCACTTTGGGAGGCCGAGGCAGGTGGATTGCCTGAGGTGAGGAGTTCGAGACCAGTCTGACCAACATGGAGAAACCCCATCTCTACTAAAAATACAAAATTAGCCAGGCATGGTGGCACATGCATGTAATCACAGCTACCCGGGAGGCTGAGGCAGGAGAATTGCTTGAACCCGGAAGGCAGAAGTTGCGGTGAGCCAAGATCACGCCACTGCACTCCAGCTGAGCAACAAGAGCGAAACTCAGTCTCAAACAATAATAATAATAATAATAATAATAATTGTGCTACATATTTCTAAGGGTTACTTTGAGGATTAAATAAGAAAAAGGATCCCACATAAAAAGGTCTGAAATGATGGCTATGCTGACTATCCTAATCTAATCATTATACGTTACATGTATCACAACACCAATACGTACCCCATAAATATGTAAATTATTATGTATCAATTTTAAAAGAATTAAAGGATGTTTATAGTGTTTTATCCATATTTTTCTTAAATTCATGATTTTCATCATGTTATCTTCACATATATGTTAATCCTGTCTCCCCTACCCTTTGAAGGCAAAACCACACATGGTTTATCTTGGTATCCTCCAACCCTCCAATTTAGTCTTCAGAAATATGTTGAATGTATAAAAGAATGATGATTGCTAGAAAGTGTGTAATTTAAAGACTTTAGAAAATACAGTTTTGTTTGATCCAGTTTCATTCTCAAGTATATATGTTTGTGTTCTTTTAACATTAAAAATGTTATGGCATTTTAACTCTCAACAAAAATCAATGTTTTAGTGACGCCCATTATCCAAATCTTCTAACTATTCAAAAAAGGGAATCCTACAAAAATAAATAATGCAGTATTGTTTTATTGAGTTATACCTATATGCCCCACATACTCCACCAAAGATTTATTATTGATCTATCCAGTCTCACCCATTTCTCTATTTTTCTATTTGTCTAATAAAGCAGTCCTCATTTGTTCCTTTGTCTATCTGCCATCCGTCCGTCCTTCCTTCCTTCTTTCCACAGACTTCCTTCTACATCCCTGCCTCTGTCTTCCCCATCATCAGTACATGACATCCCTATCTACCCATTGTTTAGACATCATCCCTACACTCACTGATTCTACATTTTAATTATTTCTCAAATTCATTTACCTGGTGATTTTTCTCCATAAGCACCCTAATCCTGACCTATGATTCATCTCTATACTGAGAGTCTCTTCATATTGTTTTCATACTATTTATTACAACAATAATTATAATTAGTAACTGTGTTTAATGTCTGTGTACCACTAAACTATACCACAGCTCCTTGAGGTCAGAAATAACCTATTGTATTCATCACTTTCTTCCTAACACCTACCAGAGTGCTTAACACATAGTAGGAAATTGATTAATATTTGTTGAATGAATACATGAGTGAATGGACTGATGAAAAAACACTTGTTGAGTATCAACTCTTGTGCTAGAAACTCTGCTATAGAGTTTAACCTACAGCCTTTCTCATTAACACTCACAACCACCACCACGAAGTAGATATCATTATTTCCAACTTACAGATGAAGAAACTGAAACCCAGAGAGACTAAATATTTTGCCTAAGGGATTTGAACCCAGGACTTCTAATTCCATATCTGTGCTTTTGCTCAACTCTGAAAAATAGCAGTGAAAATTGGGGTCTTTATAGGTTTGGATATCGTCTCACAAAAAGTAACAAAGTTTCCATTTTCTCTTTTTGATTATTGGTATGATGACACTAATAGTTCTTGGTGACTTGCTGTGAACTGAGCATTGTGTTAAGCATTTCCATAAACCTTCTCTGGGACGGAGACAGCTCTTTGCTTCCTAATACTCATTCTCCCCTTTTCCCACAGTAAGAGAGTTGACAGATTGGTACATAAAAATGTGTACCCCAAGTCTCCCATCAGCTGGATGCAGCCACATGATTTATTTCTAATGGATAATTTTTTAAGCATTAAACAACCTTCTTAGTCTCCTACTCTTTTCCTTGGAAGATGGATGTCATCACCCATTATTTTTCAGCCTTCCATTTGTGAAAGAATCCTTTCTACAAATTCACTAACTGCTTCAGCCTGTCTGCTTCCAAAGTCTCTCTACCTACTCTTAGCTGATGCTGGTGGAGTTAATCTCTTCCCAAAACTGACTGACAGCTCTGATATTAGCACCACTTTTTCTTACGTCCTGATGGGCTTAGATGTCAACTAGGCGGTAGTTTAGTAGGAAAGGAACTATTAGTATGACTCGAAAGCAAGATTTTGATTTTTTTTTTCTTTCAGCAATGGTCTTCAAATAAATACCCATGTGGACAGCCTCATGCAAAGAGAATCTTTTCATACAGTTTGTGAATTTTATCGTAATCCTTAAAGGTAGTATCAGCAAATTCCAGACACCAGGACAAGCCCATGTCTAGTATTTGAAGTGCCTGGGGCAAAGCGACAAATGGAAACCTATGGGTCATATGTCTAATATTTAAAATTGACAAAATCAAGCCAGCAAACATTTAAATAAAAGACATCTGTCCACTGGGCATGGTGGCTCATGCCTGTAATCCCAGCACTTTGGGAGGCTGAGGCAGGCGGATCACGAGGTCAGGAGTTGGAGTCCAGACTGGCCAACATAGTGAAACCCCATCTCTACTAAAAATACAAACAATTAGCCAGGAGTGGTGGTGGGCGCCTGTAATTCCAGCTGAGGCAGGAGAGGCTGAGGCAGGAGAATCGCTTGAACCTGGGAGGCAGAAGTTGCAGTGAGCCAAGATTGCGCCATTGTACTCCAACCTGGGCGACAAGAATGAAACTCCATCCAAAAAAAAAAAAAAAAAAGAAAAAGAAAAAGAAAAGAAAAAAGAAAAAAAGAGTCCCAAAGAGTCTGTCTTCCTTCCTTGGCAGATACAATTTCATAATGACCTTAAAGACTCAGAATGTAAACTTCTCAGAATTCTTTGCACTCTACCCAGCACGTGGCAGCACAAGGATTGCCAGCTCTTGGTTCTCAGACCTCACCCAAGATCTTCCTTAATTCCCCACCCACTCTCCTCTGCACCACTGAGGCTCCTGGTGCGGGTATGTGGATTGCCCAGACCACGTGGCCAAGCTTCATCTACTCCCTTCCCCTCCCCAAATGGTTGTCCTTTGGCCACCCCTTGGAAAATGGACCAAGGAATTGGCCTATATAGGCTCTGAAGTTGGGTTAAGGTCCCTTTGAGGAGGGAATTCTAGAGTTTGGGTACCCAGGGCATGGCCTAAGAGTGCAATTTGTAGGGTCTTGGTGGGAATATCCCCTCACTCCTAACTCCTCTGCCTGTCAAGAGAGGTGTGGCTAATAAGGACCAGAGCAGGATCCAAGGTAGGCATCTTTCGTGGATTTAAAAATCACTTGCTTTTAAATCCAAGCTCCAAATTTAAAAGAAGTACTGGGTGGGCCTGGGACCGGGAATGGTAACCTATCATTACAATCACCAGCATACTGGGAAAAAAAACATGGATTTGCAATCACACAGGCTTGGGCAAAATCTTAGCTCTACTACTCACTGACCATGTGTTCTAAGACAAGACACTTAGCCCTCTGGGTCTCAGTTTCCTCATTTGTCAAGTGGTGACAGTAACTACCAGGGAAGGGTGTGGTGAGAAAGTCACATAATCCTCTATGCAACAAGGCAGTAAAGTGCAATGGCTTCAGGGCATACAGCCTGGATAGGACCCCAACTCCTCCACTCACTTGTGCAAGCTTGGGTAAGCCAACCTCTGAATGCCTTAGTTTCCACACCTAGGAAATGAGGCTCATAGTAGTAGCCACCTCACAGGGTTGTTATGAGGATTAAATGAAACAAGGCATACAAAGCACTGAGAATAGTTCCTGGCACACAGTAAGCTGCAAAGTATGTAGTCCATGGCCTGAAACAGAATCCACAAGAGCAAAGAGCTATCGAGTGCTTACCCTGTGCCTAGTGGGTGCTGTGTGCTGGGGACCCACAAATAAACAAAACAATCTTACCCTCTTGGGGGTTCCAAAGCAGAATTATGACTCACCTTGCTTTGATCTGTCTCACAGGTGCAAGGAGTGATGGCTGGTGATGGGGAAAAGAGGTGGCCTTGGCCTATAAGGACAGCCAGACCCTTCACATCCTTCCTCCTATTTGACCCTCATGCCAACCCTGAGGGGTGGTAGGGCAGGGATTGCTCCCAACGTGTTCCAGATGGAGAAGTCTCTGCTCAAAGTCACACGAGTGATCTGGGTACCCAAACTCTAGAGGGAAGAATTTGGGTACCTTTCCTGGAGACCCTAAGTGGTCTTTCAGACTTTTTGGATCCAGTCCAGAGCCCTGGCGTCCTTCATGATCTGGACCCTGCTGACTGGGGGTCTGCTTCCCCTCCAGTTTGCTGTCTATTTCATGGTTGCATCCAAATTCCTGTGCTTCTCTAAATACTCCTGTGCTGTCCTGCCTCTGAACCTCTGCACAGGCCTTCACCTCTGCTTGGCACTTCCTTGATTGTCTCTTTCTCATGTTTCAAGATCCTATGAGTGATATCTACTCTGCTGAGTTTTCCTTGACAGCACCCCCTTCCCTAGCTGGGCTGAGCGTCCTCCCTTGGTTCCTACAGCACGCTGCACTTACAACCATTCCAGCCCTTACCACTTCACGTTGTCATTACACATCACTTAGCTGCCCTCTGCCCCCAAACATATAGTCTGTGAGCTCCTGGAAACCAGAAACTGAGTCTCCATGCTCACTGTGTCTCCAGTATCCAGCACAATGAGCTAGGGCACAGGACAACAGGCTTAACAAATGTTCGCTGACCGGGTAAGGAAATACTGTCTGTAGGCCGGCCTTTCCTGGAGACACTTGACTGCCATCTACTGGCACACCATTGTAATACAGTCACAGGTCTACAGCCACTGCGATGTGGGGGTGTGTACGAGGCCAACCTTCGCAACTGGCATTCCTCGACTTGATTCTAACCTGGAACCTGAAGCACTTTGCACTACACCAATACCACCCAAGCAGCTGTGGTCTTGATGAGACCTCACCTTCCCAGGAGAAACATTTGTTTTGCCCATCTCTGGAATGTTTACTGCAGGGCCTGGCAGACGGACTGGGGCTGAAGCTGAGGGTCAGGGAGTCCATCCCCCCGCCTGGCTGCAAGTCAGAAGTCTGTCTCCTGATGGGCCACACAGACTGCTGCCTCCTTGCCGGGGGCTCATTCAGGCTTCAGCCGCCTCTGAACGGTTCTGTCTGGCAGAGGGAAGGGTAGGGATGGTCTGGAATTCTAGATGCCTTTGGGGGCTGGGGTTGCTGCCTCTGTAATTGACTGGCTGTTTGACCTCAGGCAAAATGGATGGACCCGCTGTGCCTAAGGGCTCTGTCTCTCATGGCTGCCTCCTCTTCCCACCCTAATATGTTCAATCTCATAATAAGCTCCCTGAATACCTCAGCCAATCAATCAAGTCCTTGGCCTGGGGGAGCTCTGGATTCCACGAAGATTCTCTCTCCGTGGGTGGTCTCATATTTTACTGCCACATCTGAGGCCCCAGGAAGAAGAATATTATAAAACTGGTGCTGCCTGGGGTGGGAAATCCCTAGTTGAGGGAGGTGGGAAGTGTGTATGAGAGAGACTGATGAGGAATGGGTATGGGGCTCTTTTGTGGCTGCAGCAGGGGCAGAAGAAGGGGAATTCATACAAACAGGATCTGTGTTCAAACAGGACTGTTTTCCAATAAATCGATCCTGTATGTAGAGTTAACGCAGCCAGGGCTTGGTGATGTCCTTCCAAGGAAGGAGAGGTCAGGAATGTCCTGTCCCAGGGACAGCTGTCTCTCCGCAGGCCACCCCCACTGGGGGTGGAGTGGAAATAGAGAAAGAGATTTTCATGTTTCTGATGCAACATGTCAGTTGCTGATTTGTGGCCCAGGCAGAAGCAGGGAAGACAACCAATGGGCTGTGCAGAAAATGAAGGCAAAACACTCAGAGACTTTGCCAGTTAGCAAGAGAGTCACGTGGCAGGCTGGATGGGCAGAGATGTGGCAGAAGAAAGACCTTGGAACGCAAAGGGACCCAAGATCTGATTCTAGCTCCATTGTTTTCTCCTGAGAACAGCTCACCCTCCTGGCACCTTCCCATTGCCAGAGGGAGGAACCGCCCCCTCAACCGCAAACAATGGTGCAGCCTCTCAGTCCTCCATGCAATTAGCAAGGTCCAATGAACTAGGAAGGGAAGGAATGCACTAAGAGTGATGAGACTCCCTATGCCTGTATGGGGATCTGCGGAGGCAAAAAACTGAGACATAACAGGGCCCCGAGCCACAGGATGTGACAAATGATCCCCACCTTTTGCCTCTGAGAACAATAGAGAAGGAGATTTTTGTGGGCAGGATCTGATCACAATTCACATCACTTATTCACTCCCTCATTCAATCACTATTTATTGAGCCTTATGTGGACTAGGCACCACACCAGGCATAGGAGTAGATACAGCAGATACAGTGGCAGATGTAGTCCTTGTTCTTGGAGAGCTTACATGCTTATTGAAAAGACAAAAAATAAATAAATAAACAGATAAAAAGAATGAGTACTACGAATAAAATGCACGACCAATGGAATTGAGGATAAGATGTGGGGTGCAGGGGAGATTGGACTTCAGTTGGTAGAAAAGGCTTCTTTGAAAGACACTGAGGCCGGGAACAGTGGCTCATGCCTGTAATCCCAACACTTTGGGAGGCCGAGGTGGGCGGTTCACGAGGTCAAGAGATCAAGACCATCCTGGCCAACATGGTGAAACGCCATCTCTACTAAAAATACAAAAATTAGCCAGGCATGGTGGTGCATGCCTGTAATCCCAGCTACTTGGGAGGCTGAGGCAGGAGAATTGCTTGAAACCGGGTGGTGGAGGTTGCAGTGAGCCAAGATCTCGCCACTGCACTCCAGTCTGGCAACAGAGCAAGACTCTGTCTCAAAATAATAATAATAATAATAATAATAATAATAATAATAATAAAATAAATAGATAAAAAGAAAAGTACTATGAATAAAATGCACAACCAATGTGATTGAGGATAAGATGTGGGGTGCAGGGGAAATTGGACTTCAGTTGGTAGAAAAGGCTTCTTTCAAAGACGCTGAACATACACAGATAGACCACCTACTATGTGCCAGAGTCTGCAGGCTTTAAGGAAACAAGCGCAAAGACAACATAGCTAGCTCTTGGTCTCAGGGGGCTTACTACCTAATGGGAGGGACAGACACAAAAATAGAAAATGACCACACAGAGCATTCACACAAATATCCCCCTCAGCCCACAGAAAAAGCAGCCAACTCAGTCTGAAGGTCAGGGGTCACCTTCCTGAGGTCACCGTCCACCCATCCATCCAATGTTTGGTACCTAGTCTTTGCCAGGGCTGCAAAGATGAGTGCAGCAGGATCTGGATGTGTGTGTCTGCCAAAAGGACACGGGCAAGGGCAAAGGAAGTAGGTACGTCCTGGGGGCACCCAGGAGAGAAATGAATGTTCCTGGGTGTGTCCTTTAATGTACAACAGGCACAGAGCAGAAGACCTGGGTTTGAGTTGGCAGCTCTGGCACCTGCTGCCTGATTTTGGACCAGCCTCTGCTTCCTCTTCCGTAGATGGGGATAAGAAGATCTACTCACATGTTGTCAACAGGATTATATGAAGACACAGATTTAAGGGCCTCTGTAACCTGCCAAGAATGTGCTAGCAAATGAGCTGCTCCCCGATGGGCTGCAAGGGTAGAATTTGATCTCCCCAGGTAAGGAAGTGCGTGAGCACCACTAGCCTTGGAGACAAGCCCAGGTCCCTTTCAGCTATTTATTTCCAGTGCTGCCTCAGGCCAGTGTCAACCTTCCTGAACCTTGGTTTCCTTAACTGTAAAAATAAGGACATTACTATATCTGCTGTAAGGACCCCATGAATGATACCCCTGACACATGGCAGGTGTTTAACTAATGTTCATCTCTTTCCCTCCTGTGCATCAGCATGATGGGTGGAGGGTCGAGGTCAGCTGGGTATGTCCCTAAGAACATGACAGGTCATTTTCTCTCTCCAAGAGGAGGTAGATGGCAGCATCTGCCTTGCTCTAAATGAAACCTTGCTTGGTGTCGAGCATGATGGAGACCTTCCCTGTCTAATCCCTGGGAACTCCCTTCCTCTCCAGCATAGGCCTTTAGGGTAAATAAAGTCATCAGGGCCGGGCACGGTGGCTTATGCCTGTAATCCCAGCACTTTGGGAGGCCGAGGCGGGTGGATCACCTGAGGTCAGGAGTTCAAGACCAGCCTGGCCAACATGGTGAAACCCCGTGTCTACCAAAAATACAAAAATTAGCCGGGCATGGTGGCATGCGCCTGTAATCCCAGCTACTCGGGAGGCTGAGGCAGGAAAAATGCATGAACCCAGGAGGCGGAGGTTGCAGTGAGCCAAGATCAAGCCACTGCACTCCAGCCTGGGTGACAGAGTGAGACTCCATCTTCAAAAAAAAAAAAAAAAAAAGGCATCAAACACCCACTCCCTCTACCCCTCTCCTCTCTAAAGACACAGCACTATGTCACCCTCATTCCTACAGATGTCTGCAAGTTCACACTCTTCATACCACAGAAAGGGTTAACGTTTGGAAGGCTACATCATGCCTTCAGCAAACACTTATTGAGCATCTACTAAGGGCCCAACTGGGGAAATCCCCACAGGAAAGGTAATATACTAAAAAGTAATTCATGCCAAGGTGCAAGTGACTAACATCTGATCATCCCAGAAAAGGGTTTTTGATGGCATAAGGAGGATAAGGGGATCACGGGGATATTGTGTGTCTTGTTTGGCAAGGGAAAGTGGAGCCTGTCAAGGTGAAAAGTGCAGAGCACCAAAAGAGAGGCTAAGACCATTTATTATCCATTCATCCACCCAACTACCCATCCATGAATCCATCCATGAATCCATCCATGAATCCATCCATCCATCCATCCATCCATCCATCCATCCATCCATCCACCCATCCATCCACATATTCATCCATCCATGCATCCATCCACCCATCCATCCATCCATCCAGCCATCCATCCATCCATCCATCCATCCATCCATCCATCCATCCATCCATCCGCCCACCTACCCACCCATCTACCCATCCATCCACACATTCGCCCATCCATCCACATATCCATCCATCTAGGACATACTATATTCTCAGCACTGTGCTACATAGGCCCTTGAAATTGCACTGAACAAAACAGCCCCCTTGCCATCCTGGTTTTTACTGTCTAGCCAGGAGATAGTCCCAGAAGAGGAACTAGACCAAATAGTTACTCTGACTCCTGTCTTCTTTATCAGAAGCTGCCAACTAGTAGACCTCATAGAATCCACAGTCTTGTTTTGTTGCACTTAAATTGTATACTTTTAAAATAGAATATTCGCTGGCAAGGTGACTCACGCCTGTAATCCCAGTACTTTGGGAGGCTGAGGTGGGCGGATCACTGGAGGTGGGGAGTTCGAAACCAACCTGGCCAACATAGCGAAAACCCATCTCTACTAAAAATGCAAAAAAAATTGGCTGGGCGCAGTGGCTCACGCCTGTAATCCCAGCACTTTGGGAGACCAAGGTGGGCAGATCACAAGGTCAAGAGATCAAGTCCATCCTGGCCAACATAGTGAAACTTTGTCTCTCCTAAAAAAAACACAAAAAATATTATCTGGACGTGGTGCCTGTAGTCCCAGCTACTCAGGAGGCTGAGGCAGGAGAATTGCTTGAACCCAGGAGGCAGAGGTTGCAGTGAGCCGAGATAGTGCCACTGCACTCCAGCCTGGGCAACAGAGTGAGACTCCGTCTCAAAAAAAGAAAAAAAAAAATTAGCCGGGCATGGTGGTGCATACTACCGGGGAAGCTGAGGCAGGAGAATAGCTTGAACTCGGGAGGCGGAGGTTGCAGTGAGCCAAGCTTGCACCACTGCACTCCAGCCTGGGTAACAGAGTGAGACTCCATCTCAAATAATAATAATAATAATAATAATAATAATAATAGTAATAATAGAACATTCATATAAAAATTCAGATTTCTGACTTTTCTTGAAAATCAATAACTCGACAACACCAGGCCCTTATTCCCACATGGTAAAAACTGGCTGCGGGGCCTGCAGCTGCTGCCTCAGAGGAGGCATCGGTTCTCACGCCCAACACAGTTCCCAGTGCTCCCTGTCATCTCTCTGCAGCCGAAGCCAAGTGGCAGATATCATCTGTCATAGAGCCTATGCTGCTGTTTTTCTTATAGCAGGGAAATATTTCTCTATGCCTGTGCTTTTTCCTACCACCTGCCCCTTCACTCACGGACTGATTTGTCCCCTCTGAGCAGCTGCACAGACAACCCCTAATTTCGCTAAGCCTATTCTGAAGATGGCAATTAGCTTAGTGCAAATCTTCAGGAAACCCACACTCCTGTCCCTTCTGCAAACCCAGGGCAGAAAGTCAGGAAAATGGAAATGAAGCACCATCCCTTCTCCTGCCACCACAGATGGCCTCTCTCCTGTCGAAGATGCACGTCCCAGGCAGGCCTCCACAGGCCCCAAGGGCTTCCTAGACGTTCTGTAATGAGGCTGGCATCTGCCCAGAGCCCTGCCTCCCCCAGGGCAAGGCTGTAACTCAGGCAGAAATCTACTCCACCCCAGGAGTAGCTATTGCTCAAGAAGACCCGTGCATCCGAGGGACTCTTTGGAAAAAAGGTCACTTGGAGGGCCTGGGCCAGAAAACCAGGTTGTGGAGGAGAAAACACGACTCACAAGTGAAACGCTGAAACTCCTCAGACTTTGCCCAAGGCAAGGGCATGAGAAGTGATAGAGAAGACATCAGAGAGAAAACAAAAGACTTCAGGGCCGAGCCTCCCTTTTAAAGGCTTGCAGCCTGACCCTTTCATGGTCTAAGCCCCATTATTTTTCCCAAATGGGTAGCCCAGCTGTGTCTGAACACCTGCACCTGAGGGGAGCTCATTCCCTCACCAGGAAGCCCACTCAGTCTCTGGATGACTTTGCCAATTAGATGAATTTTCTGTATACTGAGCTTAAATATGTCTCCCTCTTTGTTCTCCCCCACTGGTTCCAGTTCTACCAGGTGGGAGCGTCATGAAACAAGTCCTCTAGCTTGGGGGGTTTCTAAACTTGGCCTTACACCACTTAAAAAATTCATCTCTGCCAGGCGTGGTGGCTCACGCCTGTAATCCCAGCACTTTGGGAGGCCAAGGCAGTTGGATCACCTGAGGTCAGGAGTTCAAGACCAGCCTGACCAATATAGTGGAACCCCGTCCCTACTAAAAATACAAAACTTAGCTGTGCGTGGTGGTATGTGCCTGTAGTCCCAGCTACTGGGGAGGCTGAGACAGGAGAATTGTTCAAACCTGGGAGGCGGACGTTGCAGTGAGGCAACATCACTCTGCTGCACTCCAGCCTGGGTGACATAGCGAGACTCCATCTCAAAATAAAAATAAAAATAAAAATAAATTCATCTCCTGAGCTCCAGTCTAGATATTCTGATTCCATCATTGCAGGGGAACATCTCCGTGTGGCCTGTCCTGTATCCATTCTGCCTTCTTCTGGTAACAGCAGTTCTATTTGCATTTGCATTGATGGAAGCAAGCCTTCTTTTTGTGCAGTCCTGGTGGGACTGTCCCAAAGTGCCCGCAGAGCAAGGAGTAGAACAAGCCGGGCTTGTTCTTCCCCAGGAATTTGATTTTTGAACAGAGAGAAACAAGGATGAAAGCAAGCAGGAGCTGATTTATCCCGAGACTGTTCCTGCCACCTAGATCTGTAGAGGGGCCCAGGGATCCAGGGACCCAATGGCCCCATCTTTCTGACACTCAAGCTGATGTATCCTGAGACTGTTCCTGCCACCTAGATCTGTGGAGGGGCCCGGGGATCCAGGGACCCAACAGCCCCATCTTTCTGACACTCAGGTCTCCCTATTTTCCTTTGCTTCTGCAAGCTTCCCCATACATTTTCAATAAATCTCTTTTGTTTGTTTGTTTTGTTTTGTTTTGAGATGGAGTCTTGCTCTGTCGCCCAGGCTGGATTGCAGTGGCGCGATCTCGGCTCACTGCAAACTCCACCTCCTGGGTTCAAGTGATTCTCCTCCCGAGTAGCTGGGACTACAGCATGCCGCCACCACGCCCTGCTAATTTTTGTATTTTTAGTAGAGATGGGGTTTCACCATATTGGCCAGGCTGGTCTCGAACTCCTAACTTTGTGATTCACCCGCCTTGGCCTCCCAAAGTGTTGGGATTACAGGCGTGAGCCACCATGCCCGGCCCAAAGTCTATTTCTTTTTCATGCAAAGAACTGTATCCAACACAGAGGGTGTAGATGGTGCCTGGGAATCTGAATGTCATTGTGATAGAAAGTCTTTTGGGGGCCATGCTCCTAGGCCAACCTCACTGTTTCACATAGGAGAAACAGAGGCCAGAGAAGGTGATCCCTCAGCACCAGCCTCAAGACCCCACAGCATCTGCAGAGTTCTTTAGAAAGGCAGCCAAGAAGAGAGAAATTTAGGAAGAAACAGCACCCATCAGATTTCTCCCCACACTCTCTTCTGCTCAAAGCCATTTCCCCCAGATTTTCTAGCTCCTGTTTCCGAGGGTGAAGCTCTCCCCTAAGACTCCACTAGGGCGGGGGTAACAACTCTTCACTGTTCCCCCCTCCTCCCCGAAAGAGCTGGGTAGGAAGCAGCAGGGGCACCGGGCCGCTGGATTGGACAGCGTGTAGACCTCACGGAGAGGGGTCAGCACTTGAAAAATTCCTCAAGTCAAAGGGCTCGGGGCTTGGGTGCCGCACAAGGCCCTCACTGTGTGCACATTGTCTCCCTGATAAAAGGGGCCGGGCCTGGGAAAACGGAGCTGTCTCCAGGCGACGGGGTAGGCTGCTGAGGAATGCCCAGGACCCCTCCCTCCCCCAGACACCAGGGCCAGGACTGCGAGGGGGTAGGGAGGGGCAGGGGGTGCAGCGTGGGTGCCCAGAGGGAGAGGAATGAAGTCCAGAGCCCCTCCAGGTGGTGTTGGGTGGTGTGTTTGAGTGATGGAATGAAGCAAGCAGAAAGTGACAAAACTCCCTTCATTAGGCCCTTCCTATCTCCACCCCCAGCCCCTCCAGCCATCCCAGAAACCCCTTCATTTCCCCACACAAACAGGCAGGGCCTGCCCTTGTTCAAGGAGAGCCTTAGGGGTAGGGGAAGCGGTGGAGAGAGGCACAAGGATTTTGTTCCTCAGAGCCAAGTGTCTTCAACAGAGAGTTGTGTGTCTCCACTCTAAGCCTCTCAACCAACTCTAGGAGGAGGGGACTGACTTGGAGTCGGCACCTCATCCTCACAGCGGAGGGACTGCCAGCCCGCCAGGATCTCGACACCCTCCTCTAGGGTTTCTGGAAGACAGCCCTCCAGCACATCCAGCTGAGCTGAGAGGCAGGCCAAATGGCTTCCTTCCCCCTGGCTTCCACAACGATTATACTCACCAGCAATTAGTAATTGCAATTAATTGTTAATAACAGTTACCATTTCAGGGCCTCTTAGGACAGCCTAAGCCGTGTACCAGCTCCACCCATGTCATTATCTCTAATCTTTCCAGTTACCCTTCCAGGAAGATATTCCATGACCCTGCCTTCCTGCTGAGGAATGTGAGGTTCGGAGGTTGGATTTGCCCAAGGTCACATAACTGAGAAGGAAAACAGGGACCAGAGCCCACAGTACCCAGGCCGTCTGGCTCTGGACTGTCCCCTCAGCTTTGCTCCCTCCCTCCCTGCTGGTGGCGGACAGCCCTCCTCACAGGCAAGGAAAGCTGCTCTCTGAGAATGGGGTCAATAGGGGGATCTGGTTTGGCTCTTCCCAGCCAGAAAACAAGGAAGCTCTAAGGCCAACCTCTCACTGGCCCCGTGGTAGCAGAGCCAGCAGTGTCTCTTGTTGCTGCCCTCCATAAGCAGAGAGGCCAGATAAAATCCAGGACATCCAAATTTTCCATCCAATCCAAATTTCCAATGAACAATACATCATTTTGTAGTATAAGTCTCTCCAAATATGGCATGGGATATACTTAGACTCATTCATTGTCTATCTAAGTATTAACTGGGTGTCTTGTATTTTTATTTGCTAAATCTGACAACCCTACCCCAAGCCACTGCTGGTTGTGCCAGCTCTGAGTTCACCCCCCATCCTTCCTCCACGTGGCACAGGTGGACGCAGCATGTCCTGATCACCACAGGGCTGATCAAACCCAATGCAGTCCTTACAAGGACAGGCCAAGATGCCCTGCAGTCCTCATGCCTTCGGTCAAAGCAGACTGAAGCTGCTTTTTTTTTTTTCTGAGATGGAGTCTCCCTCTGCCACCAGGCTGGAGTGTTGTGGCACTATCTCGGCTCACTGCAACCTCCGACTCCCTGGTTCAAGTGATTCTCCTGCCTCAGCCTCCCAAGTAGCTGGGATTACAGGCATGCGCCACCACGCTCAGTTAATTTTTGTATTTTTAGTAGAGATGGGGTTTCACCATGTTGGCCAGGATGGTCTCGATCTCCTGACCTTGTGGTCTGCCTCCCAAAGTGCTGAGATTACAGGTGTGAGCCACCGCATCCGGCCTTTTTTTTTCCCCCTGAAGGAAACACTGGCCTCTGAGTTACCAGCTGCACCAGAAGGAGGAGGGGAAGCCTTGGAAATAACATGCAAGTATCAGGTACTCTCCCTGAATTCCAGGGCAACTGAATATTTTCTAAGACTCTCTTCCAGGGCATCCTCAATCCTGAATTTACCCTTAATAATGGTAACAGACTTTGGCAAGAGTATCCATTCATTCCTTAAGTCATCCATCTATCCCAGCCTCCCGTCCATCTATCCTAGCCAGGCACTGTGCTGGGCTCTGAGGGTCAGTGGTTGCATAGGAAAGGCATAAACTCTGACCTTGAGTCAGAGTTGGTCCAATATGGGTAGGACCAAACAAAGTCACTCACATCTACATTGAAAAACTAAGCACCCACACTGAAAAACAGCTGTGGAGGAGAGGAACTCGGCACTCTCACTGGACACTTCATAACATCCCTGTGAAGTCAGTGGTATAGGGAAGGTGGTGGCATTGTGATCCCACTTTACAGACAAAGAAACTGAGGTACCAAAAGGTACAGTATCTTGGCCAAGACCACAGAGACAGTGAGTGGCTGGGACTTCAAGCCCACGCTACCACCTGTCAGCCTAGAGTTCTCTTGAGTATTATCTTCTTTCCCATTTAACTCTCGGGAATCATGTCTGACATGTGTTAGGAAATCACATCTTTAATATCTAAACATACGGGAAAGAATAGAAAAGATCTTGCCTGAGATCCCTTGGTGCTTTAAAAAGAGGAAAATATTCTCTGCACATCCAAGGACAATTTCTGTAGAAGGTCCAATTTGCAAACCTGAACTCGTAAGTATGTGTATGGCTAAAGGAATTCCCTTTTCCCTGGGCACCCTTTAAGCTCTGGCTGCCCGGAGGGCTCCAGCAGGGCGGGGCTGCCTGGCTCGAGGTGGGGCGCCTTCTTCTGAGGGTGAGGTCACCGGAATCCTGTGCTTGGCTGTGCACTGTAACATGGAGTGCTGCCACCCGTTGCCTCACACTGCTCTCAGACGCTGGGTGTGTGCCGGGGTGTGAGGCCCCAGGGTCCTGCTCCCCGAGGTCAACACCCTCAGGAGCAGTAGAGGAGGGGCTGAGCTTCAGGTGGGAGAGGTTGGGGAGTGGCATAAGAACTGCGGTGCCCAGGCTAGCCCTTTGGATGGGCCTGAGCCAGGTCCCAGATGTCAGTAGCATTTGCTTTGATTTTGGACTCAGAGCCTCAGTCTTCCCTATGTATACAATGAGAATAGTACTGGTGCCCCATACAGTTATTGGGAGAGCTAAATTAGAGAATCTATGAAAGCCATTGAACCCCTGGTCAGGGGACGTGCACAGATGCTTGCCAAAAGATGATGATGCAGACACGACCCCATCCTCAAAGAGCTCTGTCATTCATGTGCTTGTTCAGTCATTTGACCAACACTCTTCAGCATCTATCTCGTGCCACACACTGAAGCAGTAGCAGTGGTCAGCAGGAGGGTGGCACCATCAGAAATTCCTTTTACGACATGAGTCCAGTTCAAGTCCCAGCCCAGCCCCACTTCTGTCTCCTTGAGCAGGTGCATGGTTTCTCCACGCTCTGCCCCCCTCACCTTTAAATGAGCTGACAGTCAACTCCTGCTCCTCGGCAAATGCTTAACAACCAGTTCTCTGGATGGGGGAACAAAAAGCCCTGCTTTCTAGCATTTGCCAGTTTCCACAGTGTAAATGCTCCCACAACAGCCAATGTGATTTTCAGCTGGATTGAGTCAAGGTGAGAGGGAAAAAGAGAATTTTAAGAATGCCACCGGCCGGGCGCGGTGGCTCACGTCTGTAACCCCAGCACGTTGGGAGGCCGAGGCGGGCAGATCACGAGGTCAGGAGATCGAGACCATCCTGGCTAACACGGTGAAACCCCCGTCTCTACTAAAAAATACAAAAATTAGCTGGGCATGGTGGTGGGCGCCTGTAGTCCCAGCTACTCAGGAGGCTGAGGCAGGAGAAGGGCGTGAACCCGGGAGACGGAGCTTGCAGTGAGCTGAGATTGAACCACTGCACTCCAGCCTGGGTGACAGAGCGAGACTCCATCTCAAAAAAAAAAAAAAAAAGAATGCCACCAATGTCATTCCTCAGTTTGATTGTCACACCCCCAACCTTGTCATTGCCAATAACGCACCACCTCCCAAATTCCTCATTCAGTCAACAGGCATTTCCTACGTACCTATTATCTGCCCTGTTCTAGGCATGGGCAAATACAGACACCATGTAGAAGTGGGTGGGCAGATAGGTGATGATCATACAGCGTAATAACTCTTGGAAAATCTAGAAATGCACAAGGTGCTTACCAATGGGTGTCATTAATCCTTGTTTGGTAGGAAGGTGTAGTCTGATATTCTCTCCACCAGATGGATGGTAGCTGAGGAGGGTTTCAGAGGGTTTCAAACCAAGGACACCCTTTTAATTTCTTACCCAACAAATAAAAGAAAAAAGAAACCATTGGGAAGGGTGGGCAATAACAGCAAAGATAGCAATAGATCATTGCGGAAATGGAAGAGCAGATTTTCTGAGAAAAAGGCTACCAGCAGAGTAAGAGGACAGGAGAGCCAGGGCTCCAGAGGCCACCCAGGGAGGACCGCAGTGACCTGGGGAGGAACAGCTTCTATTCGCTGCTCCCCCAACAGCCCTCCTCCCCATTCTATCCAGGCTCCAGAGACCTTGTAGGATAAACTGAGGGCAGGGAGGTACACCAACTCCACCTGTCTTTTTTATTTTTTGGGTCATGTTAAAGGTTTTGATTTTGAAAATCAAACCTGGGATTCTGGTACATTCTATAGAAATAGTAAAAAAAAAAAAAAAAAAAAAAACAAAAGTCCCTCCATCCTCCTTTTTAAAAACAATTTCAAATAGCAGCCTTACAGTGACTCTGGCATCCTGGTAAGTAAAGAGCCAAGATTTTATACAGAAGTGAATAAAAATAGAAACTCCTCCACCGTGTGTTCTGTGTTCCTGAACCCTAAGGTGAGGTGAGCTTCAGACTCCACTATGCCCAGTACAAGTTATCCTGCTTGGACTAAGGTAGGGCAATGACATATGCTAACTGAACAGTTACTGTGTGTTGAGCTCCAGGGACATTAGGAAGAGTAAGAGACAGGCCTTGTTCTTGCAGAAGAGACGATTATAATACAGATACAGTGTGGTATGTGCGCCTGCATGATGCGCCAGCATGATGAAGTGTGTTTTAAGTTACACAAGGGAGGTCGATATTAACACTGCAGGGTGGGGTGTGTCAGGGAAGAATTCTCAGAAGAGGGGACACCTGAGCAGGATTTCAAACATGAATGGAAACTTGCCAGGTGTACAAGATAGGGAAGGGTATTCCAGGTAACAGGGAACAGAATGTACTAAGGCGGAAAGGTGTGTTTGAGAACTACAAGTGGCTTACTCTTCCTGCAGAATAAACAGGACAGGGCCAGTCACGGTGGCTCACGCCTATAATCCCAGCACTCCGGGAGGCCGAGGCAGGCAGATCACTTGAGGTCAGGAGTTCGAGATCAACCTGGCCAACAAGATGAAACCGTCTCTACTAAAAATACAAAAATTAGCTGGGCGTGGTGGCCTGTGCCTGCAATCCCAGACCCCCAGGAGGCTGGGGCATGAAAATCACTTAAACCTCGGAGGTGGAGGTTGCAGTGAGCTGAGATTGCGCCATTCCACTCCAGCCTAGGCAACACAATGAGACTCTGTCTCTAAAAAACAAAAACAAAACAAAACAAAAACAAACAATAAAAGCACAGGAAGCAGAGCTGGAGGCAGAACTAGAGGGAGGGCAGGGCAGGCATGCTTATGACTTTGAGGGCAACGATTCCCCCACCACAGGATTATATTAATAAAACGAGATGCATGGGGAGGGGGCAGGCAGGAGCAAAGTGAAACTGGTCAGATTTGTGTTTCAGAAAGATGACCCTTGGGTAGTCCCATGGAAGGTAACCAGAAGGTGAACTCAAGATGGGAGGTTTCAGACCAGTGAAGCTGCTGGAAAATTCTAGGCAAGATAAGCAGTGGAGTGGCAGTGGGGCTGAAGAGAACTGAGTTTGATATCAATTAATTATAATTCTCCTTTCCCTTGTGGTTCTCAAATCTACAGATGAGGCTGGGCACGGTGGCTCACACCTGTAATCTCAGCACTTTGGGAAGCCGAAGTGGGAGGATCGCTTCAGCCCAGGAGTTCAAGACAAGCCTAGGCAACACAGTGAAACCCCACCTCA
Source organism: Homo sapiens (assembly GCF_000001405.40). Taxonomy (NCBI): domain Eukaryota; kingdom Metazoa; phylum Chordata; class Mammalia; order Primates; family Hominidae; genus Homo; species Homo sapiens. The sequence goes on from NC_000022.11 coordinate 33,000,201, forward strand.
TTTAAAAACAAACAAACTGCTGATTGTCCCCCACCATCCCAGAGGAGAGCATCACCTTTAGTTCAGACCTATCCGGAGCCAGGCCTTACATCCTTGCCTAGCCAGGCTGGTCTCCTCAGGCACCCCCAACAGGAGAGAGTATCTTTAAATGCCTGGCCATGAGTTCTCCCAGCAAAGACGGCTTTGAGACCCTCTATTTCTCCTGAAGATGAAAGGTCTCTCTCCAGGTCACTGGCCAGGTTTTGGATCGTCCTCAAGGGACCCAGGCTGACTCAGAGTCTACAAGCTGGACACATCAGGCAGGGAAGAGTGGTATCCTGCAATTACCCCACCTGTCCACAACAAAACCTGATTCTACTGGAAGGCCCTGGACCAGGAATGGGAAGACAGAGAAACGTCTGTCTTCCTGAGAAGGGCTGAGAAGGGTAGAAAAGGGGGCAGCATCATCGTCCCCGTTGGGGTTGGGGTGGGTTCACTGTCTGTCCAGACTGCAGCTCCTCTCCCCTTCATTATCATCTGAAAGGGGAAAGAAGGGGGCCCTGTGAGCTGGCTTCTTCCCTTTAACCACTTCCTCCCCTGGGAGACAGCTCACACAGTGCAGGAGGGGCTGGGGAGGGGGCTGGCCCAGAGGCACCAGACTCTGCAGAACCACCCAGGCATTGTGGGGCTGCCCTGCCACCTGCTGGCCGCTCCTGGTGGCAGGGGACAGGCATTTTTCCGGGATTCTTCAGGACAGGACCGAGACTCTAAGGCAGTCAGCATCAATTTGGAGAAAGCCGGGAAAGTGTTGCGATTCAGAGAGGTTAGGAAGTTCGTGAAGAATCTAGGATGGAGTTCTGTGGGAGAAGCTGTATGTTGGTGGTAGGAAGTCTCTGTCACAAACATCTAATAATTGCAGGGCCAACTGCCAGATGAGTTAATGAGTCTTAGTTTCTTACTTCTCCCCTTTTTCACCCACTGAGGGGCAAGAACACCATAAACAAAGACTGTTGAGTCCCAATTAAAGTGTGGCCATAGGACGAATGATTGAAATATATTGGGAAAAACTCCTCTGGCCAAAGCTGTGTCCCTACCCTTGCACACAGCCTAAAATTCACACACTGGTCCTTCCTGTGGAATAGAGAGACTGAACATCAAATTCAAAATTTAAATGTTATGTCTGAGGCCACTCATTGCATTTCAACCTCATTCACTGTTCCCCTACCCTACTGTATACCACATGGACACTGGAGGGACAGATATTAATAAGACCCAACTTTATCACCCAGGACCTACAGGGAAGAGTGACCAACGGACCAATGGGTTAAATAAATAGCACAATGGGATAAATCCTAATCCAGACTGCCCTGTATATTTGGCATGAAGAAATTAAACAGGCATGCCTACAAGGGGCTACTGTTAAGATGATTAATGTTACACAGGAAGGATCACAATAGTCAGCAATAATAATATACACTTATGCAGTACTTACTGTCTACCAGGCACATCCCATGCACTGTTATACTAACTCAGATCTTAACCCTACTTACATACATTAACTCTATGACATAGGTACTATCATTATTCCCATTTAGGTGCAGTAATTTACAAAGGTCATTAGTCACTTCAGGGTAGAGATGGAATTTCAACCCAGATAGCCTAGCTCTGATGTCTGTATTCTTAACATTGCACCATACTGCCATTTATTAAGTTCAACCTCCATGCAAAGACGTAACTTCCCTGACAAACAGCTGAGCCAGGGATAACACAGCTAGCAGAGAACACTCAAAATCAAGGTCAAATGTTGGGATGAAGAGAGAGAGAAAACTTCAAGGGCCATGCAGGCATTTTGACTACCAGGCAGATGGGCATTGTTCAGGGCAGAGGGCCTAAAAGAAACACCCCGGCAGACATCAACCACTAAGCTCAGAGCCTAATAGTGATGCTTTACATAAACACATAAGCAGAGACAAACAAAGTTTCATGATAAATACCCTTAAGCAAGCAGCAACACCTAAGATGATTCACACTGGATCGGAAGACAGGTGATTCACATGACCAATCTGGTTAAGAAGAGGCAATTTCTGAGCAGGAAGCAGTAAAGTCAGACTGATGGTCTGAATCTGCTGAACATACTTTAATGTTGACTTTACATAGAGTATGCATTAAAAACTATAAATAGCACCAGGTGCGGTGGCTCACACCTGTAATCTCAGCATTTTGGGAGGCCGAGGTGGGCAGATCATGAGGTCAGGAGATCGAGACCCTCCTGGCTAACATGGTGAAACCCTGTCTACAGTAAAAATACAAAAAAATTACCCGGGCGTGGTGGCGCCTGCCTGTAGTCCCAGCTACTTGGGAGGCTGAGGCAAAAGAATCACTTGAACCTGGGAGGTGGAGGTTGCAGTAAGCTGAGATCGTGCCACTGCACTACAGCCTGGGCAAGAGAGCAAGACTCCATCTCAAAAAAACAAAACAAAACAAAAAAAACTATAAATAGCAAAGCATAGATTTAATCATTCCCAAACTAAGTTAATGTCTCAAGGAGTGAATGAGTGTATATACATGCACATTGGACTAACAGAGCATCTGGCACATTTAATGAATGGGATGCATTCATTTATTCAGTTAATACATAGTTACTTGGTGCCTACTGATACGGTTTGACTGTGTACTCACCCAAATCTTATCTTAAACTGTAGTTCCCATAATCTCTATGTGTTGTGGGAGGGATTCAGTGGGAAGTAATTGAACCATGGGGGCAGTTACCCCCATGCTGCTGCTCTTGTGGTAGCGAGTTCTCACAAGAGCTGATGGTTTTATAATGTGCTTCCCCCTTCACTTGGCACTCATTCATTCTCTCTCCTGCCACCCTGTGAAGAGGTGGCTTCTGCCATGATTGTAAGTTTCCTGAGGCCTCCCCAGCCATGTGGAACTGTGAGTCAATTAAACCCGTTTTCCTTTATAAATTACCCAGTCTCAGGTAGTTCTTTATAGCAGTGTGAGAATGGACTAATATAGTAAATTGGTACCCCAGAGAGTGGGATGCTTCTGTAAAGATACCCAAAAATGTGTAAGTGACTTTGGAACTGGATGACAGGCAGAAGTTGGAACAGTTTGGAGGGCTCAGAAGAAGACAGGAAAATATGGGAAAGTTTGGAACTTCCTAGAGGCTTGGAGGGCTCAGAAGACAAGAAGACGTGGGAAAGTTTGAAACTTCCCAGAGACTTGTTGAATGGTTTTGACCAAAATTCTGATGGTGATATGGATAATGAAGTCCAGGTTGAGGTGGTCTCAGATGGAGATGAAAAACTTTTTGGGAACTGGAGTAAAGGTCACTCTTGCTATGCAAAGAGACTGGCAGCATTTTGCCCCGGCCCTAGAGATCTGTGGAACTTTGAACTTGAGAGAGATGATTTAGGGTATCTGGCAGAAGAAATTTCTAAGCAGCAAAGCATTCAAGAGGAAGCAGAGCATAAAAGTTTGAAAAATTTGCAGCCTGACAATGTGATAGAAAAGAAAAATCCATTTGCTGGGGAGAAATTCAAGCCCACTGCAGAAATTTGCATAAGTAACAAGGAGCCGAATGTTTATTACCAAGACAATGGGGAAAATGTCTCTAGGGCATGTCAGAGACCTTGGGGGCAGCCCCTCCAATCACATGCCAGGAGGCCTAGGAGGGAAGAATGGTTTCATAGGCTGGGTCCAGGGCCCTCCCTCCTGTGTGCAGTATCAGGACTTGGTGCCTGTGTCGCAGCCACTTCAGCTGTGGCTAAAAGAGACCAAGGTACAGCTGAGGCTGTTGCTTCAGAGGGTGCAAGCCCCAAGCCTTGGCACCTTCCACATGGTGCTGGCCCTGCGGATGCACAGAAGTATTCAGGTTTGGGAACCTCTGCCTAGATTTCAGAGGATGTATGGAAACACTTGGGTGTCCAGGCAGAAGTTTGCTGCAGGGGTGGGGCCCTCATGGAGAACCTCTGCTAGGGCAGTGGGGATGGGAAATGTGGGGTTGGAGCCCCCACACAGAGTCCCCACTGTGGCACTGCCTAGTGGAGCTGTAAGAAGAGGGCTACTGTCTTCCAGACCCCAGAATGGTAGATCCACTGACACTTCACACTGTGAGCCTGGAAAAGACACAACGCCAGCCTGTGAAATCAGCTGGGAGGGGAAGCTGTACCCTGCAAAACTATAGGGATGGAGCTATCCAAGGTCATGGGAGCCCACCTCTTGCATCAGCATTACCTGGATGTGAGACATGGAGTCAAAGGAGATTATTTCAGAGCTTTAGGATTTAATTACTACCTCATTGGATCAGAGTTACCTGGATGTGAGACATGGAGTCAAAGGAGATTATTTCAGAGCTTTAAGATTTAATTACTGCCTCACTAGATTTCAGATTTGCATGGGGCCTGTAGCCCCTTTGATTTGGCCAATTTCTCCTATTTGGAATGCGTGTATTTACCCAATGCCAATACCTCCATTGGATCTAGGAAGTAACTAACTTGCTTTTGATTTTACAGGCTTCTAAGAGGAAGGGATTTGCCTTGTCTCAGGTGAGACTTTGGACTTGGACTTTTGGGTTAATGCTGGAATAAGACTTTGGGGAACTGTTGGGAAGGCATGATTGTGTTTTGAAATGTGAGATTTGGGAGGGGCCAGGGGTGGAATGATATGGTTTGGCTGTGTACCCACCCAAATTTCATCTTGAATTGTAGTTCCCATAATCCTCATGTGTCATGGGAGGGACCCAGAGGGAGGTAATTTGAATCCTGGGGGTGGTTACCCCCACGTTGGTGTTCTCATTGTAGTGAGTGAGTTCTCACAAGAGCTGATGGTTTTATAAGGGGCTTCCCCCTTCACCTGGCACTCATTCATTCTCTCTCCTGCCACCCTATGAAGAGGTGCCTTCCACCATAATTGTAAGTTTCCTGAAGCCTCCCCAGCCACGTGGAACTGTGAGTTGATTAAACCTCTCTCCTTTATAAATTACCCAGTCTCGGGCAGTTCTTCAGGCAGTGTGAGAACAGACTGATACACCTACTATGTGGCCACCTTTGGAGACATGCACATGCGACCCTGTTCTCCATCCCCAAAAGCCATGTATGAGTCCACTGTCAGACTTTTCTGGTTCCCATCCATGTATTCCTCTGCTCTGGATGCAATGCTTCCATCTCCATAGTTGGGCTCACTTCCTGAACTGCAATTTCTATGTCTCCAGCTAGACTGATAACATTTATCACCTCTGAGTACCAAACAGCTGGGATAGACTTATTCTCCAAATGCAGCTCCACATAAGCAGGAGCCTGTTCCCTACTATACCCATGCATCTCAGCTATGCCTGGCACCGAATCAGTGCTCAGTAAACTACCTGGTGAATGACTGCTACAGTGATCTTGACACAGGTATCAGGTCTCTGCCACTGTGGAACTTACCAGCTAGGGAGCACTGTCTGAGAAGAGGCTGGCAGTGGTCATTTCTGCCCACCTTTGGTGTTCAGAAGACAGGCTCTGGAGCCAGACTGCCAGTACCTGGGAGAGCTGAGATGCACACTCAGGCACTCTGATCCCAAGGTTTGGGATAAGGACTGTGGACTTGTATTGCTTTCTTTTATCCTCATAACAAGCTCATTTTATGGAAGGAGGGTGGCTGAGGCTGACAGGTTAATCTGCCAAGTACTGCCAGACGTATTTCAGATATTAAAAGTTTTCCATTTTTAGGAAGGTAATATGGTGAATATACCATATTTTATATAACACTTCCAGCAGGCTCTGAACTATACTCCATATCAAACACATTCAGATGCTTGCAGCAAATCATATGAACAAACACACTTAGTATAATTATAGCCTCACTTTCCTGCAGATTAGGCTTTGCTACCAAAAGAATTGCAAAACATTTTCTAGTTTCCAGAGTGTGTTGGATTTGGGATTTGCAGGCGAGGGACTGTGGACCTGTAAATATAAAGCCCTTAGAAGAGAATGTGGCACTAAGTAGGTGCTGTGGGCCTAGCATGCAGCAGCCACTTGGTACATGTTAGTTTCCTTCTCTCCAGCCAGGCTCTGATAGCACCCAAGCCTCTCATAGCTCTCCCCTTCTATTTCCCCAGGAGATGAGATAATCCCCACTCCTCTCTTGCCCCAGAAGGTGGTAGCACTTGCAAATTCCTACTTACCAGTCTGTATGGGCATCATCGATCACCAACAGGATCCTGGGTCTTTGAACAATGGGCGTGGAGGGACCTGGAGGCTCCATCAGTCCTGAGGTGGCCTGAGGGGCCTGCTTCATGGCACTGGAGAGGGAGCTAAAAAGGCTGGATCCTGGAGAGGAGAAGGAGGCAGCCAGGGGCTGGGGGTGCCTCCTCTCCATGGCGGGGGAAGCAGGTGAGCTGGTGGAGCTATCTGGGCGTTGCAGGTCCGTCATATAGCCATTAGGCAGGTTGGCCATGAAGCTGCTGTCAGAGAGACGTCGCCGGAGGAAATTCATGGCTGTGGATGGATGGAGATGACTGGCTCCTACCCAGACGTGTGTAGGTGAGGCCCAGAAGACAGGCTGCTGCCAGGTACAGGGAGTGGTAGGACTTTAGCCAGAAGAGCCAGGGGGATTTTGCGCAACCAGCAGTCAGCTTTAGCTGCCTTTATTTACCTGCTGGAAATAAGCCAACAAATACATAAGTGGAAACGACCTCCACCCCCTTAAGAGCAAACAGATACAGCGCTTTCCTGCCCCACTGCAGGTGGTAATGTAAATTAGGACATCCTTCTGGAAAGGAATTTGGCAACATGTATTAAGAGGATAGCTTTTTAACCTACAATTTCCATTTTCTGGAATTATATCGCAAAGAAAGATTCTAAGTTACAGAAAAAGCTTCATGCACAAATATGTTAATCACAGGTTATTTACACTAGCGAAATACTGGGAAGTATCTCAACATTCAACCACAGTTTAACAAATAAGTCAACTACAGCACAGTTACTCAATGAACCTATTGTGGCTATTTTTAAAGGTGCCCTGAAGAACGGATTTTGGTAACAGAAACAATTTCATGTTCTAATGACAAATTTAAAAGATAATGATTCAAAATTATAGGAACCAAATGACTACAAAGATGTACAAGTTGAAAGAACAAAACTTTGGAAATAAAAGAAATCAAAGTGTTAACAGTGATTATATTTTGGTAACGCAAGTACATGCCTTTTTTTCTTTTTCTTTCCTCTTACTTATATTTTTCTAATTTTCTAGAGTGCTTATTACTATGGACCGGCATGTCCCCCACCTCACCAAATTTATATGTTGAAGATAATGCTGAATATGATGCTTCGGAAATGAGCCCTTTGGGAGGTAATTATGGTTAGTGGGGTCATGAGGGTGTGGCCCACGCGATGGAAGTACAGCCCTTATAAGAAAGGATGCCAGAGAGCTTGCTTTCCCTGCACTGTGTGAAAGCAAAGGTAAAAGGCAGCCATCTGCAAACCAGGAGAGAGCCCTCACCAGAACCAGGCAAAGCTGACACCCTGACCTTGGACTTCCCAGCCTCCAGAACTGTGAGAAATAAGTACCTGTTGTTTAACTCACCCAGCCTATGGTATTTTGTTATGTCAGCACAAGCAGATAATATACACATCTATTGCTTTTCTAAACAGAGTAACATAAGTTTAAAAAACCCACACTGTTCATTTGAGATCAAAACATCCCATTGAGAACAATGACTATTTAAACCATGGAATTAGATTTTATATTTTTTGTTAAGATTATTATATACAATTTTTTTTTTTTTTGAAACGGGGTCTCACTTCATCACCCAGCCTGGAGTGCAGTGGCACGATCTTGGCTCACTGCAACCTCTACCTCCCAGATTCAAGTGATTCTCCTGTCTCAGCCTCCAAAGTAGCTGGGATTACAGGCACCCACCACCACGCCCACCTAATTATTGTATTTTTAGTAGAGATGAGGTTTCACCATGTTGGCCATGCTGGTCTCAAACTCCTGGCCTCAAGTGATCTGCCTGCTTTGGCCTCCCAAAGTGCTGGGATCACAGGCGTGAGCCACTGTGCCCAGCCAGTATTTTTATTGCAGTAAAATTTACTTAAGATTGAAATGCACAGTTCTTAGGTATACACTTCTTTGAGTTTTGATAAATGTATATACTGGTATAATGTTTATTATATTTCTACACCTCAGAAAGTTCTTTTGTACCCCTTCTGGTCCCTCCACATCTCCTAACAGGCAAATACTCTTCTGATGCATGTCACCGTTTATTAATTTTACCTGTTCTTGAACTTCATATAAATGTAATCAAATATATTATGCTTTTGTTAATAACTGCTTCCCTCAATGGTTCTGAGATGCAATATGTTGTATAGCAGTCATTCTATTTTTAAAATAACTGAATACCATTCTACTGGATGGATAAACCACAAATTGCTACTCCATTCTCCTGTTGATAAAAATTTGAGGTCAGGCATGGTGGCTCACACCTGTAATCCCAGAACTTTGGGAAGCTGAGGTGGGCAGATCACTTGAAGCCAGGAGTTTGAGACCAGCCTGGCCAACAAGGCAAAACTCTCTCTCTACTAAAAGTAAAAATAATTTTTTTTAAAAAGCTGGGTGTGGTGGTGTGGGCCTGTACGCCCAGCTACTGGGGAGGCTGAGGCACGAGAATCGCTTGAACCCAGGAGGTGGAGGTTGCAGTGAGCCAAGATCACGTCACTGCACTCCAGCCTGGGTGACAGAGTAAGACTTTATCTCAAAAAAAAAAAAAAAAAAAAAAAAAAAAAAAAAAAAAAAGAGAGAGAGAGAAAAGAAAAAGAAAAAAGAAAAAGAAAATCGGAAATGTTTGCAGTTTTCAGAAATTATGCATAAATTGCTGCAAGAAATTTTTATTTAAGTCTTTTTGTGGGGCTAGATAGATAGATGATGAATGGATGGATGGATAAATTGAGAAGTAGATCTTTTCTTTGGGAAAATACCTAGGAGTTAATTTGTTGGGTCATGGGGTAAGTGTATGTCTAAATAAGAAACTGTCAAAAAGTTTCCCATAGTGGTTGTTTGATTTTGCACACTCCATTTGAGAGTTCCCGTTCCTCCACATCCTTTCTCACATTTGGTTGTCGTCGTTTTCATCCTACCCATTCTAGTGGGTGTAGCATAGTATCTTATTGTGTTTTAAATTTATTTTGTCTGATATTTAATGACATTGAACAAGTTTCATGGGTTTACTGGCCAGTGACATATCTTCTTTTGTGGATATCTATTCAAATCTTTGGCCCATTTCTAAAAGGTGGGTTGTTTATCTTTTTATTTTTGATTTGTAGGAGTTCTTTATACATTCTAGATACAAGTCCTTTCTCAGATACGTACATTGTAAATATTTTCTACCATTCTGTGGCTTGCTGCTTCATTTCCTTCATGAGCAGAAGTATGGCAGAATAAAACAACTCTTAAAAAAGTGAATTGTTTATTTGAGATAAAAGCATCCCAATAAGAAAAAAAAATTATACTATAGGATGAGACCACACTTCTGTATTTTGGGTACTGGGAATACTTTACATATCCTTTCATATATACGTATCTAAACACACACACACACACACACACACACACACACACACACACACTTATATATGCATATAATATAAATATAATATATATAAAGTCTTATATATATCTGCAGATGTTTTGATAAACAGAAACTTTTATTTTTATGAAACCTAATTTATCAAATTTTTCATTTATGGTTAGTGTTTCTGTGTCTGTTCTTAAAAATCTCTGCCAGGCTGGGCGTGGTGGCTCACGCCTGTAATCCCAGCACTTTGGGAGGTCAAGGTGGGTGGATCACCTGAGGTCTGCAGTTCGAGACCAGCCTGACCAACATGGAGAAACCCCGTCTCTACTAAAAATACAAAATTAGCTGGGCATGGTGGTGTATGCCTGTAATCCCAGCTACTTGGGAGGCTGAGGCAGGAGAATCACTTGAACCTGGGAGGCGGAGGTTGCGGTGAGCCAGGATCGCATCATTGCACTTCAGCCTGGGCAAAAGGAGCAAAACTCTGTCCCAAAAAAAAAAAAAAATCTGCCAACCCCAAGATCACAATCATACCATCCTACAGTGTCTTGTAGAAGCTTTATAGTTCTAGCTTTTCTGTTGAGGTCGGGGATCCAACTAAACTTGATTTTTGAGTGGTATGAAGTAGGGTATGAAGTTCATTTTCAGCCCCGTTCATTTATCCAGGTTGCCAGCACCATTTATGAAAGTATTTTTCTCCCACTAAATTGCTTTGGTGGCCTTGTTGGCACCAATTGGCTGTACATGTGTGGGCCTACTTCTGGACTATGTTTAATATGCTCCACTGATCTCTCTGTCTATTCTTACATTTATTGATTGCTATGGCTTTCCAGAAAGTTTTAAAATCAGGTAAAGTGAGTCCTCCAACTTAAATTTTCTGTCTCAAGATTGTCTTAGATATCCTAGGTCCTATTTTCATATGCATTTTAAAATCAACTTTTATGAAAAAGTCTGTTGGAATATTGTTCGAGATTGCATAGACTGAGTAGAATTGTCACTGAACAATATTGGGTTCTCTATGAACACAGTAGACCCCTCTACTCAGAAATTTTTTTGTGATTTTCAATATAGAGATCTCGCATACATTTTGCTAAATTTATTCCTATTTCGTTTGGGGTTTTTTGCATGTTTTTAAAATGACACTGTTTTCTAAATTTCACTTTCCATTTGTTTGCTGCTAGTATAATATTATTTTCAATATACTGACATGCTCAATTCAAGTATTGTTGCTACTAGTTGTTTATAGATTCCTTGATACTTTCTATTTAAATAATGTCATCTATAAATAGAGATCTTTACTTCTTTCTTTCTAATCTGAATGCCTTTTACTAATTTCCCTTATCTGACTGTCCTAGCTAGGACCTCCAATATTGAACAGAAATCATGAAAACACACACCTTACCTTGTTCCGAATCTTAGGGGGGAAACACTCAGTATCTCACCATTAATGTGGTGTTAACTAGAGGTTTTTGGTAAATCCACTTTATTAGATTCAGGCAGTTCTCTTCTATTATTATTTGGATGAGAGTTCTTATCATTTGGGAGTTGAATTTGCCAAGTGATTTACTAAATCTATTGAGAGGATTATATGTTTTTGAAACCATTTATTTGCTTAACAATGTGGTAAATTATACTGATTGATTTTTAAATGTTAAACCAAACTTGCATTCCTGGGATAAACCCCACTTGATCATAGTGTATTACCCTTTTTATATATTGGTGGATTCAATCTGATAATATTTTGCTATTTTTGTGTCTATGTTCATGACAAAAAAACATTGGTCTGTGGTTTTATTTTTTGGCAATGTTTTTGCTAGGTTTTGGTATCAGGGTAATATTAACCTCACAAAATAGGTTGGGAAGCATTCCCTCCTTTTCTATTTTCTGAAAGAGTCTGTGTAATATTGTGTTTTTTTTCTTAAATTATTGGCAGAATTCAACAGTGAAACCATCTGGGGTTGGTTTTTCTTTGTGGGAAAGTTTTTAATAATGAATTCAATCTCTTTTATAAAGCTATTCATATTTTGTTTTTCTTTTTATCTCAATTTTGACAATATGTGATTTCGAGCATTTTGTCCATTTCATCTTGGTTGTGAAACTTACTGGCATAAAGTTGTTCATAACATATCCTTTCTGTAGGATCTTATGATTCCTCCTGATATTCCTGATATTGGTAATTTGCTTTTTCTCTCTTTTTGACTGATCCATGTTGCTAAGAATTTATAAATTGTATTACTCTTGCAGGGCACCAACTTGCAGCCTTTTCAATTTCTCCATTGTTTGTTTTCTATTTCACTTATTTCTGTTTTTTATTACTTCCTTTCTTCTCCTTACTTTTGGTTTAAGTTTAATTTGCTATTCTGTTTTCTAGAGCCTTGAGCTGGAAACACAGATCATTAATTTTAAACTCTTTTTTTCCCCAATATAAGTATTTAAAGCAATGTGCTTCCCTCCCAGAAATTCTGACATATTTTCATTATCATTCATTTTAAATTATTCTGTTTATCCCTTATAATTTTTTGACCCATGTATTACTAAAACATGCATTTAATTTTCAAATTTCAGTGCTTTTTAATTATTGTCTTGTTAATGCTTTTAATATAATTCATTTGTGATTCTTGAACACAGTCTATAAGGTTTTAAACCTTTGCCGTTCATTAAGATTAATTTTATGGTTCAATACAGTCTACCTTGATGAATGTTCCAGATGCACTTGGAAAGAATGCATATTTTGTGGTTGCTGGGTGTAATGCTCTACAAATATTACTTAGACTGCTTTCAAGTCCAATTCCCCAGGTAGCTGACACTCCCATGGTGACTTGCAAGCAGGAAGTTTATTAGGCAGTGCTTCCATCTATGCTCAACAACTGTGGGCAGGAATGAAAAGCAGATTTGGGCTGAGAGACAGACAGAACCATCACAGGTTCAACAGAGGTGCCAGTTGATTTTAGTGGGCACATGGACCTGGGGCATCTCTTTAGATGTCCTCATTTTCCAGCCACTCTGTGAGCTTATACTCTGCCCCCTGATTTGTCAAACCAGCAAAGCTGCAGCTCTCCACTTGAGTTCCAGCTGCTCCATGCCAGGTGGCGTGGGAAGAGCCACCTAAATGTATATTTCACTAAGTGGGTGTGGTTTTCCTTCCTTCAAGGGTCAAATCCTGTCCACCTCCTGTCTATTTTTTGTTTTTCTCCAGCAACCTCAAATCGTTTTAAAGATTTTTTCCAAAGTTTATCATTATCATCTGTGAGAGGTTTAGTTCAACTTAGGCTATGCCGTCATTACTGGAACTGAGCCCCTTCCATTTTTCAAATACCAGATGGAAAAGTTAAAATGTTAGGGTTGAAGGGATCTTAGAGTTTATTTAACAATTCCTTCTTCAGGAACTCTGGTCAACCTTCCATTGATATGAATTCCCTGACTTTGAAAAAAAATCACCTCTTACCATCTTTTGACCTACTCCAATGTTAGTCAAAGGCTTCTCAGGTAACTTCTGCCCACTACAGGCCCCAGTGGAACTTACAGGCTGGCAAAGGGAGGCCAATCATGAACATGCAGACAAACATTTATGGTTTAGGGTAAGTGCAAGTAAACAATACACAGAGTGTGGTCATCGAAATTCACTTGGGGCAGGACTTTTGCAGAGAGGATGGTTAGAGAAGGCCTCTCTGAGAAAGTTACTTTTAAAAATTTCATTTTCAATTGACAAGCAATAATTATATATATTTCTGTGATGTTTTGCTATGTTTACATTGTGGAATGATTAAGTCAAGCTAATTAACAAATCTATCATCTCACACACATCATTTTCTGTGGAAAAAAAATTTAAAATCTACTCTTTTAGCAATTTTGAAATATACAATGCATTATTTATAATGCATTATAGTGACTGTAAAGTCACTATTCTGTGCAAAAGATCACAAGGGCTTATCTCTCATAACTGAAACTTTGTACTCTCTGACCGACATGTCCGCTTTCCCCATTCAGCCCCCTCTCCAGCCTTAGGCAACCACATTCTACTCTCAAATTCTATGAGTTCAATGGTTTTAGATGCCACTTACAAGTGAGATCATGTGGTATTTGTCTTTCTGTCCCTGGCTTATCTCACTTAGCATAATGTTCTTCAAGTTCATCCATGTTGTAGCAAATAGCAGAATTTTCCCCTCCTTTTTTTTTGGTCTGAGATGGGGTCTCACTCTGTTGCCCAGGCTGGAGTGCAGTGGTGTGATCATAGCTCACTGCAGCCTCAACCTCCCAGGCTTAAGTGACTCTCCCACCTCGGCCTCCAGAGTAGCTGGGACTACAGACGTGTACTAAGATGCCCAGCTAGTTAAAAAAAAAAAAAAAAAAAAATTAGGGGGCGGGGCTCTCACTATGTTGCCTAGGCTGGTCTCGAGCTCCCGGCCTCAAGCAATTCTCCTGCTTAGAATCCCAAAGTGCTGCGATTACATGCATAAGCCAATGGGTCCTAGCTTCCCCCTCCTTTTAAGGCTGAATGGTATTCCATCGTGTGTATATATACCACATTTACTTTATCCATTCCTCTGATGATGGGCACCTAGGTTAGTTCCATATCTTAGCTACTGGGTATAATGCTGCAATGAACCTGGGAGTGCAGATAGCTCTGATAAATTGATTTCAATATATTTGGATACATACCCAGAAGTGAGCCTGCTGGATCATATGGTAGTTCTATTTTTAGTTTTCTGAGGAACCTCCATGCCGTTTTCCATAATGGCCGTATTAATTTACATTCCCGCCGGACAGGGTGGCTCACGCCTGTAATCCCAGCACTTTAGGAGGCCGAGGTGGTCGGATCACCTGAGGTCCAGAGTTGGAGACCAGCCTGACCAACATGGAGAAACCCCGTCTCTACTAAAAATATAATATTAGCCAGGCGTGGTGGCAGGTGCCTGTAGCACCAGCTACTCGGGGGGCTGAGGCAGGAGAATCGCTTGAACCCGGGAGGCGGGAGTTGCGGTGAGCCGAAATCGCGCCATTGCACTCAAGCCTGGGCAACAACAGCAAAACTCTGTCTCAAAAAAGCCAGCTTCGCAGTCGAAGGACAAGAGTCGTAGAAGCGGTCGAGGCTTTTACGGCTCCGGCGTGCCGGAAAGTGCGTGAGTGGAAGGTGCTTGAGTGCCGCCGCCGGGGAGTTTTGTTCCGTTTCCGGGATCCTGGGGTCTGGAGGCAAAGTATGTTATGCATAAAAGTGGATAATTTACATGATAAATGAAAATGGCCAATTCTTTAAGAGGATAAGTACTAAATCTTTATAAAAATCTGCTGTATCTTGATGAAACCCCGTCTCTACTAAAAGTACAAAAAAATTAGCCGGGCGTGGTGGCGGGCGCCTGTAGTCCCAGTTACTGGGGAGGCTGAGGCAGGAGAATGGAGTGAACCCGGGGGGCGGAGGTTGCAGTGAGCCGAGATGGCGCCACAGCACTCCAGCCTGGGCGACAGAGTGAGACTCCGTCTCAAAAAAAAAAAAAAAAAAAAAACTACTGTATCTTGGACGAGACTATCCAAAAGGAGCAGACTATTTTAAACGGCGTTTGAACAACATTTTCCTTAAAAACAAAGACGTGAAGAATCCAGAGAAGATCAAAGAACTTACTGTACAGGGCGAATTTGTAATGAAAGAGCTAGAAGCCTTATATTTCTTTAGGAAATACAAAGCTATGAAACAACGCTGTTATTCAGATATCAACAAAAACTAGTTGATCCTTACTACTTTAATTTAGCTGACAACCAGTGCCAGCTGTTTCTGTACACCAGCTATTGTAAAATAATTCTAACTTAAAATGGGAAGATGTACATGTTGTGTAAAAAAATCCCTGAGCTGCCCTACTGAACTAAATAGGTTTCAACTTCTGTTCATACTGAGAGATTTATCAGCAACTTTATGCTCAGTTTTTATACAAAGATAGCAATTTAGCTATACTACCGATTATAAATTAATGAGCACCGAATTTTGAATGAAAATATAATACACTTAATCTTGTAACTTAATAGGACTTAGCCAATTATTTTTAGCTTATTTTTCCATTTTACTGACAAGAGAATGCCACATACTGAACATTTAATAGGCAAATTTTCTTTTCTTTTTTTTTTTTTTTAAGACAGTTACACTCTTGTTGCCCAGGCTGTAGTGCAATGGCACCATCTCGGCTCACTGCAACCACCACCTCCTACGTTGAAGTGATTCTCCTGCCTCAGCCTCCCAAAGTAGCTGGGATTACAGGCGCCCGCCACCACGCCCAGCTAATTTTTTTTGTATTTTTAGTTGAGACGGGGTTTCACCATTTTGGCCAGACTGGTCTTGAACTCCTGACCTCAGGTGATCCACTCGCCTCGGCCTCCCAAAGTGCTGGGATTACAGGCGTGAGCCACCGCGCCCAGCCACAAAATAATTTCTTACACACTTGTTTCTCTTAACTTTTGAAAGGAATCCCTTATTTTTTTCCCCAGTTTGGTACATTAACAGCACATATTCAAGGTTCACTACAAAACAAAGCAGTTCCTGGTAATGACTTAAATGTAGTTATAGAAATAATAATATGTATGGAGTCATTCCTGCTGAACTTGAAATAGCCTTCTGGTGACAGGCATTACATACATAACTATTCAATTATTTCCATTATTAATGTTGCTGCTGCTACCTTTGGGCCTGAAACCAAGTCACCTGTTGTGTATCAATTAGCTTCTTTGATAAAAGGAAATAAATAATGTCATTCTATTATTTTATCATAAAGACAAAAAATTTACATTCCCACTCATGGTGCACAAGTTTTCCCTTTTCTTTACACTCGCTCCAACACTTGTATCTGACATCTTTCTGATAATAGCCATTCTAACAGGTGTGAGGTGAGATCTCATTATGGTTTTAATTTGCATTTCCCTGATGATTAGTAATAATGAGCATTTTTTTCATATATCTGTTAGCCACTTGTATGTCTTCTTTTGAGAAATGTCTATTTGGTTTACTTGCCCATTTTTTGATTGGATTATTTATTTTCTTGTTATAGAGTTGTTTGAATTCCTTATATATTTTGGATATTAGCCCCTTATCAGATGTATGGTTTGCAAATATTTTCTCCCAATCTCTGGGTTGCATCTTTATTCATTGCTTCTTTGCTCTGCAGAAGCTTTTTAGTTTGATGCAATTCCATTTGTTTATTTTTGCTTTTGCTGCCTGTGCTTTTGGAGACACTTGGACAATGTCCAAGAAATAATTGCCCAGACCAATGTCATGGAATTTTCCCCCTTTGTTTTCTTTTAGTAGTTTTATAGTTTCAGGTCTTATATTTAAGTCTTTAATCTATTTTGAGGTGTTTTTTTGTATGATGTGAGATAAGGGTCCAACTTCACTCCTCTGCCTACGGATATCCAATTTTCCCAACATCACTTATGAAGAGACTGTCTTGTCTCCATTGTGTGTTCTTGTCACCTTTGTCAAATTTCAATTGATTGTAAGTGTGTGGGTTTATTTCTGGGATCTCTTTGCTGTTCTATCGGTCATTGTGTATTTGTCAGTACCATGTTTTGATTACTATAGCTTTGTAATAGATTTCAAGTGCCTCTAGCTTTCTTCTTTTGTCTCAAAATTGCTTTGACTATTCAGATTCTTTTGTGGTTCTATACAAATTTTAGGATTTTTTTATTTCCATGAAAAATAACATTGGAATGTTGATAGGGATTGCATTGAATCTGCAGATCATTTTGGTTAGTACGGACATATCATTCTTCCAATCCGTGAACACGGGATACCTTTCCATTTATTTGTGTCACTTACAATTTCTTTCACCAATGTTTTATAGTTTCCAGTAAGAAGGTCTTTCACCTCCTTGGTTAAATTTACTCCTAAGCATTTCATTTTTTGGTGCTATTGTGAATGAAATTGATTTCTTAAGTTCCTTAGCAGTTAGTTTGTTGTTAGTATAAAAAAATGCTACTGATTTTTGCGTGTTGATTTCGTACCCTGCAACTTCACTGAATTTGTTTATCGGTTCTAACAGGTTTTTTTTTTTTTGTAGAATCTTTAGGATTTTCTATATTTAAGATCATGTCATCAGCAAACAGAGACAATTTCACTTCTTTCAGGAGTGATCTTTAGGCTGAAACATAAAGGATGGGGAGAGAGAAGTGTATAAGCAAAGGCACTAAGGTAGGAAAAAGCAAGGCACATTTGAAGAACAGAGGGATGGCCAGCTCCATCAGGAAGTTAGAACAAGATTCTTGTAAGAGAATGTTTAGAAAAGCAGAGAGGGGTCAGATCATGAAGGGCCATGTTGAAATCAATTTTGATTTGAAGCCAATTGTGAAAGTAAGCCATTGGAGGGTTAGAGACAAGAGGGATATCTGGTCTACCTGGCCACTGTGTAGAAATAGACCTAGAGGATGTGTCTATGAAAGGAGCCAGACAGGTTAGAAGGCCGTTGTAGTCATTTTGGTCCACAGATGTGAAAGTGGGGAGCTGGATTATGTAATTTTCAAGGTCTTTTCCTCTTGAATCATTAGGACAGGACACAGGATATCGCTCCAATGCCAAACTTAATCTGATGGCAAGACAAGGTGCGGATGAGAGGGATTCTGGTGAAAGCCTAGGAAAAGACAGGAAGGCAGGGAAGACGGGCTGGGATAGAACCCAGTAGGCCCCGTGGGTACCCAGCCCCATGCTGCCCTAGCACTAACCACTAGAGGGCAGGAGTGACCAGACCAGACAGAAAAAGAGACTTTATAAGGCAAGTTTGCAAGCTTACTTCTTGGAGGCTGTGGCATGAAGAAAAACTTCACTGGGAAAGGTTAAATAAAGGATGAAAGACTTTCCATACTTGATGGTGAAGCCAGAACCAGAAGTAAGGTGAAAATCATAAGGATACGTTTTGCATCAAAGCAGGAGGAATGAGAGCTGCCCCACAGCGGCAACAGCTACTTTGAGAAGAGATGAGCCACTGATCAGCCTGGACAGGAGAGTGGACATGTCTGCTTGGGTGACTCATTGACACCCCAAACTTCTTTCCTTGCTCACCCTCAGATGAGTTTATGCACCTGGGTTCCCCACTTCCGGAACCCTGTGACCCATCCACTCACTGAGACCTGAACCTAAGTCTCACACTTTGCTCCTCCTTAACCCTGGTGAGTTTCAGCCACTCAATCTCCAAGTCCTGTCAACTCTGTCTCCACTAACATCTTCAGCATCATCCCCTCCTCTCCATCATTCCTACCATAGACTTGGTTCACGTGCTGCTAAAGCTCTCTCCCCTTGCCTATTACAACAGGCTCCTAATCAGCTCCCTCCCTCTAAGCTCAGTCATTCAGTCAACTTTCCACAGAGCAGAGAGAGCTTTCCAAACTACAACCCTAACCAGAGGAAGCCCCCTCGTGACTTTCCACATATCCCTAGGATAAAGGACACACTGTAACCCAGAAATACCTTAATCATTGCCATCTTCTTCAAGGTTTTCCTTGCTACTTTGGCCATGCAGGATGAAACTCTTCTAATGAGTCATGCTCTTCCAAAAGTCCATATCCTTTGTATATACTTTTCCCTCTGCCCGGAATACTGCATCTTATTCCCCTTTTCCTTCACTGCCTGGATACCTAGAGAGGCCATGAAACCTGTAACTGGGAGCACAGGTTTCAAAGGCAGACAGACTCTGGTTCCAATCCCAGCTCTGCCACTTACTCATGTAATATCTATGAGAGTTGGGGTGGCTTATTCAACCTCCGTGCCTCAGTTTCCTCATCTGTAAAACAGGAATAAAAAATAACGGCTACTTTACAAATTGATATGAACACTGAATGAGATAACTGATGTGACACAGTGCAAGGCCTGACATGTCAGGCACTACATGTACTAGCTCCTGCTGTTATTTATTTATTACAGTTGATTTTCTTGTTGTTGTTTGTTTTTGGTTTTGCTTTTGTTTTTGAGACTGGGTCTAGGCTGGAGTGCAGTGGCGCGATCTTGGCTCACTGCATCCTCCCGCCTCAGCCCCACAAGTAGCTGGGACTACAGGCACGTGCCACCACCCCCAGCTAATGTTTGTATTTTTTGTAGAGGAGGGGTTTCACCATGTTTCTCAGGCTGGTCTTCAACTCCTGAGTTCAAGTGCTTGGATTGTAGGCATGAGCCACCACGCCCAGCCCCATTGCTTATTCTTAGCAATCCACATGAAGCTACTGGGAAGATCAAATGAAAGAATGCACAGACGTGCTTTTGAAATAATGAATGATTATACAAATAATAGTAATGAAACATCGTTTTTAGTAGTGGTATCTTTACAATATCATCAGGATGCAGAATTGTTATTCCTGACTTCAACCATCCCTGAGAGTCATTAATGCTTAGAGACTCTGAACACAGAGGCCCCACAGTCACATAGAGGCCCCAAAGCATTTAACCAAACACCTTCAGATTTAATTCCTCCAGAGGAGAAGTATTCAGTTGAATAGTTAACCATGGAAACGTGTTTGTTCACATAGACCCAATCCTAGGAAAATGGAGAAAGTGGTGAGGTTTATTTCTGGATCCTGTACCTCTTTCAAAACCCATCTTCCTCACTTCTTCTTCTTCTCAATACCTCACCCCTAAGATCAGATCTCTTGGCAGGACCTTGTCATTGGAGCCTCTAATTCAGAGAAGCCTCAGGACATAGGAGATGGGGTATTTAAGAATAAGAGAGGGTGTCTGAAGAGGAGGACAGGCCAGATGCCCAGCCCAGAGTACCAGCACCTCAATACAATCACGCTATTAAAATGATTCTTCCAATGGTATAAGGTATAAGGCCTGAAAGCAATCTTTTTGCTCAGTCTTTAAGATTCACTGAGGTGACTCTATTGATGATACTTTGGGCACCATGACAAGCAAAAGGGGAGAAATTTCTTTTGCAAGATTGGGTCATACAAAAGGCCAACCTATACCACTTTGAAAACAAATCCTATATAAAAGGGACTCTTCAAGTGCAAGCCCCCTCCCAAACCCAGGCTAAGGACTACAATGGCCTCAGCACTCTGGTGCTGGACACAGGTAGACAGAGGCAGTAAGCTTGAAGGTTAAGTTCATGGATCCTGGGACCAGGTTGCTTGGGTTCCAATCCCAATTTTGCTATCTACCACCTACAAAGCCTCGAGAAAATTACTTAGCCTCTCTGTGCCTCAGTTTTCTTATCTGCAAAATGGGTATAATAGTACCTACCTCATAGAGTTCCTGCAACTTAACATATGCCAAGTATCTAAAACAGTGCTTGGCACATGGTAAACAATCTGTGTCAGCTGCTATTATTATTCCGATTTTTTTTTAGACAATGTGTTTCCCATTGCCAGAAAGTCTGACAGTGTGGTTAGTTTGGAAGGCAACACGGCAGGTGCAGTATTTACATGAGAATGAGCTTTGGCATGGATCTGACTTTGAGCCCCACCTCTGCCTCTTGCAGCTCAGTGACATCTAAGTCACGGGTTCTTCATCTGCAAAGTGGGGATACCAATACCCTGCCCTTCCTACTTCACAGGTCTTTGAGCAGACCAAAATCAAGTGCACTAAAGTGCTTTTCCAAATGTTTATTTTTTAAGTTAACATAGAATAAAATAGACTTTGGGGGTGTATAGTTCTATGAGTTTTAGCACATTCAGGGAACCACCACTACCAAGATATGGAAGAGTTCCATCACCCCCCATACAATTGCTTTTTAATCTTGATGACGTAGTGTTTCACAGCCTAACACCTGGCTCTCCTACAATGGTACATTAGATAAGAAATATTCAAGGCCTGGCACATTTCTTAGATAACAAAGAAAGAAGATGAATTCCAGTGATTGAACTTCCTGTGCATTAGTTGCCTTTGCACTGTCTGTTCCTTCATCTGGAACTCTCTGTCTACAGACACATGCGTGGCCCACCCACCTCTCCCTCAGGTCCTGCTGAAATGTCACATTCTCAGTGAAGCCTCCCCTCTGACTGCCACTGTCTGGTACTTTGGATCCTACTTGTTCTTTTTTTCCATAGCATGCACCATCTTCTATAAACTATATACTGTAACTTATTTTTTTTTTTTTTTTGCTTATTCTTCATTTTCTGTTCCCTTTCATAGAATGTAAGCTCCCCAGGGAGAGAGACCATCGTCTGACTTGTCCACTGATGTACTCTAAGCACCTAGAAACAGTGCCTAGCACATAGTAGAGGTTCAATATATATTTGTTAAGTAAACCTGTTTAAAACAACAAGGATGAAGTTAAACTATCTTCACTTGTTGTTTGGGAAGATTAAATCTGTGATTATACAAAAGAAAGCAGCTGTCACAGTGCCTGACACATAAACCTAAGTTGAACGAAAATTGGAATAATGCAAAGGACTGACTGATTCTCCCTGTCCCCCATGTAAACACAACACGGCTTATAAATTCTCCACTCGATGAGGGCTAAAACAATTTTTTTCCTTCCCTATTAGGAATCAGTATTTAGGTAATTAATCCTGAAATGCTAAAATCCCCTCTGCACAAGCAGAAAATTTTAAAATTCATGGAGACAACATAACCTGGGCTTTAGCAATGTATTAATGAGCATAGGCAGTGAAGTCTAGGGACAGGCTGAGAACTCCGTAGACTGTGTCACTCCAGCTGCAAAGCTAAAAGATGCTTAACTTCCTGAAGAGCAGGTCCAACATGCACCTGCTGAGGAAGCAGCTCCATCCTGCTCCTTTCTCACACACAGACCTGCTGGCCCTTTTGACCCCAAAGCTCTTTTCCAGCCACATCAACAGGAAAACATGCACTGTCTTTGATGAGTTCAAATCCACCCACACAGGCCTTGATCTCCTGTGGGTAGCATCATTGTTCTCGTGAGTGGGACACCGTGGGTCCCCAGACAAGAAGAATTTGGGCTTTGGAAACAGGATTTGTAGGTGAGTGAGCACAAACAACTCCCTCCTCTGGTTGGAGAACACCCCAGGGTGTCAGGAAATTTTGTGGGAGAGGGTCTCCTCGAAGTCAAGAGAGGAGACGAGATTCTTCCATTTATTTGCAACCACTCCCACAAACTGAAATATATTCAAATACAGAAATGCCAAAACAAGGTCCCAAAAAATTTTCATGTAAATGAACACTTACCTTTAGCAAATTAAAGCATTTAACTTCCTAAGATTATAAGGTAACAATAACTGAATTTTCCAAAAAATATTCACAGGATTTATTTACGAACAGAATTTATAGAGCCCTACAGGCAGCACTAGCCAGGACTGGGGCCCAAGCTTTGAATTATCTAATAATCATGCTGGATTGCCTCTAGCTTATCAGGACCCTCATCTGAAGGTCATGTCAAAAATCTAAGTGGCCAGGCATGGTGGTTCATGCCTGTAATCCCACCATTTTGAGAGGCCAAGGCAGGAGGATTGCTTGAGTCCAGGAGTTTGAGACCAGCTTGGGAAACGCAGGGAGACCCTGCCTGATACGGTTTGGCTCCGTGTCCCGACCCAAATCTTACTTGAACTGTGAAAATCCCCATGTGTCATGGGAGGGACCCAGTGGGAGGTAACTGAATCATGGGGGCAGGTCTTTCCCATGCTGTTCTTGTGGTAGTGAATAAGTCTCATGAGACATGATGGTTTTATAAAAGGGGAGTTCCCTTGCACACACTTTCTTGCCTGCTGCTATGAAAGACATGCCTTTGCTCTTCCTTGACCTTCCACCACGATTGTGAGGCCTCCCCAGCCATGTGGAACTGGAAGTTCATTAAACCCCTTTCCTTTATAAATTACACAGTTTCAAGTATATCTTTATTGGCAGCATGAGAATGGACTAATACACAGTCTCCACAAAAAAATCAAAAACTTTGCCATGGGTGGTGACACATGCCTGTGGTCGCAGCAACTCAGGAGGCTGAGGTGGGAGGATTGCTTGAGCCTGGGAGGTTGAGGCTGCAGTGAGTCATGATTGTGTCTCTGCACAATCTGCATGATTCTAAACACTCTGGGTCACAGTGCGACGCTGTCTCAAACAAACAGAATCCAAATGGAAGCCCTTGATAAGGTGAGGTCTGGAGCTCAAGTGTCACCTGGGCCCCTCTGTGATTGTTGCTCCAGATGAACCCTTCAAAATAAATTTCAATGATTTTTAGCAATACTCACCTACTCTAAAATCAATCATATATGTATTCTAGTCTATCTCACAATATTATTTCTGGACTTTTTGGTTCCAAACTGAAGCTGGAGAGGTGTCCACCTTGGTGATCATCTAGAACGCTGGCCTCTCTGGGCTAGATCCTCTCCTGAGTGTGGACACTCAGGATACCATACGTTCCCTGAGCAAGGAAGGCACTCTCTCAATGACAGCTCTTTCCACGGGCAGCAATGTCTGCCGGGCACAGCCTCCTTCTCTTTTGTGGCATGACTAGGTCTTGTTGTTTCTCAGAACTCAACTCTGTATCAATCATTCAGAATGGCTTTCCTGACCACCCACCAGCACCCTCCAGACTGGGTATGGTGGAGTGCAATTCCAGTGTTCTTAGAGGCCACTCTTGAGCTTCTTTCCATCACAGACCTATGGCTTTTTTAATGTAAGCATCAAACTCTAATATGCGCCCATATCATCTGGGGAACTTTCTCACCAATACAAATTCCCAGGCTTCCTCTCCAGAGGCTCTGATTCCACAAGCTGGAAAAGTAGTAGCCTGGAATCTGCATGTGATCAAGCTCTCTAAATGACCCAAATGATTCACTGCAGCTGGTCTTGATCTCCAAAATGGGACACTTGTCCCCTAGGGATTTCCAAGATGGTACATTGGAGTACAGGGAAAAATGGTTAGCACTTTCATTCCAATCTTTGATCTCACCCTTAAATTTCTTTTTGGCATGTACATTTTATGGACACAATATATTAGTAAAGTATTGTCAATCTTAAAAGACACTAGAGAAAAGTCTCTCTAGCTATGTTGGGTTTGTCCTGGAATACAATAAAGATTATAATCCGGAATGCATGAAATGACAAGCCACCAGTGCACTCAATGAGGGAAGGATAAAGGGGAGCTTTTATAGCAATGAGAGATTTACATAAGCTGCTTAGAAAGACAGTTCATTGGTTCCAGAGGCTGTTGTTAGTTCGTTGGGGGAGATGCCGTTACTGGGCAAGTGTTCTTCCGAGAACATCTTATCTGAATTACTGCAGTCCTAAAGAATGTCGAGTGATTTATCAAAGCAGGAGATGCGTGAAGGACGTGAAAGTGATTTTAGAAAGTCCTTGAAAACAGTTCTCATCTCAGACAGGTAAGTATGAGTCTCCTCTCCTTTCTGGCCCCATTTTGTCTGAGTCTGACAAAAATTATTTTGGTGGGCACAGTGGCTCATGCCTGTAATCCCAACACTTTGGGAGGCTGAGGTGGGTGGATCACTAGGTCAGGAGTTCAAGACCAGCCTGGCTAGCATGGTGAAACCTGGTCTCTACTGCCAGGCATGGTGGCTCACGCCTGTAATCCCAGCACTTTGGGAGGCCGAGACGGGTGGTCATGAGGTCAGGAGTTCGAGACCAGCCTGGCCAATATGGTAAAACCCCGTCTCTACTAAAAATACAAAAATTAGCCAGGCATGGTGGTGCATGCCTGTAGTCCCAGCTACTTGGGAGGCTGAGGCAGAAGAATCGCTTGAACCCAGGAGGTGGAGGTTGCGCCACTGCACTCCAGGGTGACAGTGCAAGACTCCGTCTCAAAAAAAAAAAAAAAAAAAAAGAAAGCTGGTCTCTACTAAAAATACAAAAATTAGCTGGGCATGGTGGCAGGTGCCTGTAATCCCAGCTACTCAGGAGGCTGAGGCAGGAGAATCGCTTGAACCTGGGATGCCGAGGCTGCAGTGAGCTGAGATCGCACCACTGGGTGACAACCTGGGTGACAGAGCAACACTCCGTCTGGAAAAAAAAAAAAAAAAGATTTCATCCTGGTATCTGCAACTTTCTCAGTATTCATGATTTATAAATAAATATGCTTATGTTGGGGAGGGCAATTTACAGTTTGAATTATTAGCCACAATTCTTCATCAGCCCCCAAGGTCTACAGTTTGCCAAGTGAGTTTTCAGTTCTCCCAGTAGAAGCTGAGTGACTCTCCTGCCCACTGACTTTGGGTAGTCATGTGACTGCACCAGGCCCCATCATGTGACCAGTTTTGATTAATCAGGGGAGCCTTGATAGTGACCAGTTTTGAACCATGAGCCAAAGAGACGTCCCATGTTTCTACTTGCCCTCTTGCACCTCTGTCACTGCCATGAGAAAAGCATGTCCTGGCTGTCCCACGAATCCAAGGAGCAAGTGAGAGGAGACCTGGACTCAAGCTGCACCTTAGAGCCAACTAGATGGCTGCATCTTAGAGCCCAGCCAAGAAGAGTGAACTCCTAGCCAACCTGAAGGCACATGAGCAAAACAAATCCCTTTCATTCATGCCATTGGGGGTCTGTGTTGTTTATTACAGTAACTCTTGATAGTGAACATTGGTTCAGATCTCAGGCTTGCTGACGGTGTATCTGTATTTCAGCTTTGAACCCATAGCCCCTTGTAGGCCCTTAGTTAATAACAGAATAAATGGAGGTTTTCTCCATTTTCTGGGAAAATTCTGATTGATACTCTCTGTGGCCCTGTCTGAAAGGGTTGATGATCAACTCACTTTTCCAAAACCAGCCACCAGGACTAAGGCTCCTGGAGTGCTCCAGATCACCTTTTTTGCCAGTCAGACTCAGAGCTTGATGTCCAATGGTACCCTGGGCTGTTGCATTATCTTCAGGTCAAAATACTACACCCTATTACCTGAAAAATACAGTATCTGACTGAACCAAGGGCTGACCTTAGCCTGGGTTCCTCATTTTCCTTTGACCAGTTGGGCTCTCTATGAAGCCAGTTCCCAGTAATCCGGTGAGTCCCAGTGTCTAGGCTCTGCCTTGAATCTCACTCCTTGACTGGTCCTGTTGCCCCTGGGAGGACCAACTCCCCAACTCCTAGTTCCCAGAGCTATGGCTGCCATGCCCATCGACCTGGTTGGGAACCCACACCCTAGCCATTTCCAGAATCAGAGCTGAAAATGCTCCCTCAATCCCTGACAAAGAAAACCCAGAAAGCATTGGTATCCTGATGTTGTTGAGAAAACGTGGCGACTGTATACTGCACAAACTCCATCTTTTCTGTTTTTATCCCATTAGAAAAGGGCACTTCACCAGAGGCTCGTTCTTGGGAACTCCGTCTTTCTTCCCTTCTTTATTTTCTTTCCTTCTTCCCTCCTGCCTCCCTTCTTTATTTTCCTCCTTCTTGGTTCTGTATCTTCCATTTCTCCATTAAATCAGAGCTGCTTTTTCAGGAACTAAATTTGAATCTGAAACAGACTTGAGAGTTGATGTGATTTCTTACTCAATATAGAACTTCCCTCTATAGTGTTTCCAATGTCAAATTCATTGCTGTCATTTACTGAGGACCTATAAAGTGCAAAACACTCTGATATATATCTATCTACATATATATATATGACGTATATATTCTAATTCAGGTATTAACTAGAATCTGTCATGTAGGTATTATCATTTCCTTTAAACAAACAAAATGAAAACTTCAGGCCGGGCACGGTGACTCACGCCTGTAATCCCAGCACTTTGGGAGTCAGAAGCAGGCAGATCGCCTGAGGTCAAGAGTTTGAGACCAGCCTGGCCAACATGGTGAAACCCCATCTCTGCTAAAAATACAAAAATTAGCCGGGCATGGTGGCTCACGTCTGTAATTGCAGCTACTCCAGAGGCTGAGGCATGAGAATCACTTGAACCCAGGAGGTAGAGTTTGCAGTGAGCCGAGATTACACCACTGCACTCCAGCCTGGGCGACAGAGTGAGACTCTGAAAAAAGAAAGAAAGAGAGAAAGAAGGAAAGACAGACAGACAGACAGAGAGAGAGAGAGAAAGAAAAGAAAGAAAAAGAAAGAAAAGAAAGAAAGAGAAAGAAAGAAAGAGAGAGAGAGAAAGAAAACTTCACAGGGGTTAAGTTCCTCATCCAAGATCAAATAGTAGGTCAGTGGCAAAAGCAGAGCTCACTTCACACATTGTTGTGCCGAAAATTCTCAACTAGAATCTTCAGAGGATCCAGTTCAACAACTTCATTTCATCAGTGAAGAGACAAAGAGCTGAGCAAAGAGAGGTGAGTTTTATTGAACGTTGGTTCATTTCATCCTCATAACAACCTTATGAGTTGTACAAATACAAACGCTTATCAACACTCTTTGCATCTAACAGACGTGAAGGCTGAGGCACAGGGAGATGAAGTGCCTTCCCCAAGGCTGTGTGTCTAGTTCAGTGGTGGAGCTGGGATTCAAACCCAGGCAGTCTAGGTCCTGGGTCCAGTTTTAATTACAGAATGTTGCCTTCCCGGGACACATACCAGATCAGAAGCAGACAAGGACAGAGCAGAGAGGAATCCCAGCCCGTGGTTTCCACAGCCTGCCCTTTCCCCTCCAGCACACTGGCTCCAGTCTCATCATCAGTGAGGAGCACAAGTGGAAATCCAATTCCACATAAGTGGAGGGAGCAGAGAGTGGGACAGCCTCAGGATTTCCCTGGATTTATCACAGCTCCTTCCTCCTCAGCGCCTAGCCCCGAAGCCATCTGTGGGGAATGCTAATGCGCACCAGCTTCAGAGAAGGCCGTGCTGCTGGCCTTTCATGTGACTTAGGGGAAGGCTGAGGATGCAGCTGCCCGCACAGCCAGCAAAGCATTTGAATTGCTGCTGCCCTGCAAAAGGCAGATCATCTTTCCAGGGCAACCACGGCCCAGATTTATAGCCTGTAATTTCCAGTCTCCAGGCTGGATGATCCATGACGCTTGCTGGGCAGAGGAAGGGATTAAGCAGCAAGGAGGGGCTGGCACAGCCCACTAGGAAGTATAATAAGAACCATGATGGTGGTGGTGGTGGTGGTGGTGGTGGTGGTGGTGGTGGTGGTGGTGATGGTGGTGGTGGTGGTGGTGGTGGGGTTGCTACCATTAACTGAGCCTCTTTTAAGAATCAGGCACTGTGGCCAGCACGGTGGCTCACGCCTGTAATCCCAGCACTTTGGGAGGCCAAGGCGGGTGGATCACGAGGTCAGGAGATCGAGACCATCCTGGCTAAGACAGTGAAACCCCGTCTCTACTAAAAATACAAAAAACTAGCCGGGCGTGGTGGCGGGCGCCTGTAGTCCCAGCTACTCGGGAGGCTGAGGCAGGAGAATGGTGTAAACCCGGGAGGCAGAGCTTGCAGTGAGCCAAGATCCCGCCACAGCACTACAGCCTGGGTGACAGAGCGAGACTCTGTCTCAAAAAAAAAAAAGAATCAGGCACTGCTCAGACAGTCCCTAGATGATCCCCAACTCTCACGACAACCCTGGCCAGGAAGTCAGGAAGTGCTATCACCTCATTTTACTGATGAGGACACTGAGGTCCAAAGATGACTTTTTTTTTTTTTTTTTAAGAGACGGGGTCTCACTTTGTTGCCCCGGCTGGAGTGCAGTGGTACAATCTTAGCTCACTCTAACCTCAAACTCCTTGGCTTAAGCAATCCTCCTGCCTTAGCCTACCAAGTAGTCAAGACTACAAGTACAGGCCACCACCTCCAACTTTTTTAATGTTTATTTTTATTTTTGTAGAGACAAGGCCTTGCTATGTTGCCCAGGCTGGTCTGGAACTCCTGGCCTCAAGAAATCCTCCCACCTCAACCTCCCAAAGCGCTGGGATTACAGGTGTGAGCCACCATGCCCAACCCTAAAAATGATAAATAACTTACTTATGGTCACTCAACTTGTATACAATAATTACAGCTCTGTCAGGCACTGCTCTGACCCTGAACTCATGCCATCCTCCCTCCAGCCTTAGGAGGTAGGTGTGCTGGTATTACTCTCCCTTACAGATGTGGACATTGAAGCCCAAAATGACACAACTAGTAAGTGTCAGAGCTGTCATTCAAACCCAGGCTCTCTGGCTCTGGTGGTCACAGTCCTAACCACTAAGCAGCACTTTCCCTCCATGGTATTAGGATTACAACCCAGCTCTGACTGAGTCCAGGCCCTACGGATTTTCCATTACATCATCGAGCCTTGGGTCCCCAGGGGCCTGGAATCTGTCTTCTTGGGCTTCAAACTTAGCTCGGTTATACAGAGGCACTTATAGCTCCATTCCCCACGCCCTGACCCTCACACAGCAGGTTCACGTCTCTGTTCCCTCTCTTGGCATGCCCTTCCCTACGTTTTCCTACTTTCTTCAGTTGGCTGTTTTTGACTCATCCTCACTCAGCTCATCACCTCCTCTAGGAAGGCTTCCCTGACGTGAGGTGGTCTGTGTTCCTGAAGTTCCCTGTGCAAACCCATCACTGTGGGTTTGGGGGAAAGGTACCAAGTCTGGCTTTGGACTCTGAGTTGGAGGCAGTTGGAGGCAGCAGCAGGCAGGGCCAGGCACCCCGTCAATGAGAGATGCCTGCGCTGCCAAGATCTGGGAACCAGACCTGACTCCACAAGCCGCTCCTTTCTGCTGGAGAAGAAAACACACGGTGCCAAATAAGTGCCCTCCTTCCTAGAGACAAAGGGGACCTTCTGGATGCCTTGCTTAGGGCTGTGATATGCATGAAGTACAAAGGAAGGCACCGAAATGAGGGGAAAACACCAGTCATCTGAAACACCTGGAGGAAGCTATTGACAGGGGAGGGAGAGCCAGATACATAGAGACAGAGAAGAGAGAGAGGCTGAGACAGACACAGAGAGACAGATATAGAGAGACTGTGACAGAGACACAGAGAGATAAGGCAGAGAGATACAAAGAGACCCACAGAGAAACGGAAAAAATATATAGAGACTGAGAGATAGAGACAGAGAGAGAGAGAGACAGAGAGAGATAGATAAAAATAAACACAGAGAGACAGAGAAACTTATATAGAGACTGATAGAGACAGAGAGAGAGAGAGATACAGAGAGAGACAGAGAGATCAACACAAAGAGACCCACAGAGAAACAGATACACAGAGACTGAGATAGAGACAGAGACAGAGAAACAGAGAGAGAGGTAGAGACAGATAGACAGAAACAGACCCCCAGAGAGAGAGAAACAGATACAGAGAGACAGAGAGATAGTGACGGAGATAGAGAGACAGAGATACATAGAGACAAATAGACACAGAGAGATAGAGACAGAGAGTGATAGAGACAGACAAAGATATATAGAGATACAGAGACAGAAAGACAGATATACATAGACAGACACAGAGAGATAGAGACAAACAGAGACATAGAGAAACAGATAGAGACATAGAGAGCCAGGCACAGAGAACAGGCCCTGCTGAGCACCAGCTGTGGATGTGGCAGCACTCAGTCTTACCACCTTCAGTTGCCCACGGCCCCCTGCCTAAGGCAGGGCAGATGGCCAGCTGGGCAGTGCTTCTGGTGGCTGAGTGCTGCCCTACTGAGTAATTGGGTGAGTTCCCTCTGGAAAGCAGAGAAAGCAAAGTGAATAGGTGTCTGAAACTCATCACATCCAAGACAGAACTCCTGGGGTCCTGCCACCTCCACTGCAAACTGCTCCTCTCCCACCCTCCTTATCTCAGGAAATGACCCCACTAGGTGTTCAAACTAAAAATGTAGGAGTCTTCTAGGATTCCTCCCTTCCTCTCACCTCCCAGACCCCGACCACCACCAACCCTTATCTTTAAAACAGCCCCGGAATCCATCTCCTTTCAACTCCCTGGTTATCACTGGGAGCCAAGCCACCGACATCTCCCCACTGGACAAAGGCAGCTCTCCTTTGGTTTCCTGCCTCCCCACGGGTTCTCCCTGTTTACTCTTCACAGGCAGCTGCCCCCTTCTAATCCTTCTGTGTCCCCCTGTCCTTTGGGTAATTCAAGCTTCCTTCACAGCCTGAGGGCCCTCTTCCCCTTCTCATTTTCCACATCCGAGCTGTCCTTTCTCTTCTCAAATAAGCCAACCCCATTCCCCCAGCACCCCTGTCCCCCATGCCCTTCTCAGGTCTGTAAACCAAAATTAAAATCCTAAGCCCCCAAGCAACTGGCTGCATCCTTTCTTGGCCAAGAGGACCCCAGAGAAACCTGAAAAACTGAATTCCTGGCTGTGATGGGAAGGGAGGCCAGACATGTCCCATTCCACGCCCTCCCTTTTGGAGTTTAGGCACAATGGACCAACATTAATGTTGAAAAAGAGATCATTGGCCAGGCATGGAGGATCACGCCTGTCATCCCGGCACTTTAAGAGGCTCGAGGCAGATGGATCACCTGAGGTCAGGAGTTCGAGACCAGCCTGGCCAACATGGTGAAACCCCATCTCTACTAAAAATACAAAAATTAGCAGGGCGTGGTGGCGGGCGCCTGTAGTCCCAGCTACTCAGAAGGCTAAGGCACGAGAACTGCTTGAACTTGAGAGGCAGTGGTTGCAGTGACCTGAGTCTGTGCCACTGTACTCTAACCTGGGTGACAGAGCAAGGCTCTGTCTTTAAAAAAAAAAAAAAATGCTGGGCATGGTGGCTCACACCTGTAATCCCAGCACTTAGGGAGGCTGAAGCAGGTGGATCACATGAGGTCAGGTGTTCGAGACCAGCCTGGCCAACATGGCGAAACTCTGTCTCTACTAAAAATACAAAAATTAGCTGGGCCTGGTGGTGGGCACCTGTAATAGCTACTTGGGAGGCTGAGGCAGGAGAATTGCTTGAACCTGAGAGACGAAGGTTGCAATAAGCTGAGATCGTGCCACTGCACTCCAGCCTGGGTGACAGAGCAAGACTCCATCTCAAAAAAAAAAAAAGTTAAAAAGATCATTAGACTAACAAAATTTTAGTCTTTGTGACAATAAGGTACCAAATTATAAACAAGACCTGAGGCCACACAAGGCAAACATTAAGTCATGCCCTACAAACCATAAAATCCTGTTAAATTTTTTTTTTTAATTCATCCCATATAAGGTAGCTTACTTTCCAACCTGACTCTGGTGTCTTTACTGAAGCATTCCTTTAAGCCTTTAGACAAAGCTGGACTCTTTCAACCAACTGCCAACTAAAGAATCTCTAAAACCCATCTATGATTTGTAAGCACCCCAACACCACCCGCCCCAGCTTCAAGATGTACTGCTTTTTTGTGCCGAACCAATGTATACCTTCCATGTGTTGATTTATGATTTTACTTATATTTCCTGTTTCCATGAAATGTATGAAACCAAACTGTAACCTGATGGCCTCAGGCACACGTTCTCAGGGCCTCTCGACTGCTCTCTAGGCCTAGGTCACCCATGTGTGCTCAGAATAAACTTTTTTTTTTTTTGAGATGGAGTTTCGCTCTTGTTGCTGAGGCCGGAGAGCAATGGTGTGACCTCAGCTCACTGCAACCTCGGCCTCCCAAGTAGCTGGGACTACAGGCACCCACCACCACGCCCAGCTAATTTTTTGTATTTTTAGTAGAGACGGGGTTTCACCATGTTGGCCGGCTTTCACCATGTTGGCCAGGCTGATCTCGAACTCCTGACTTCAGGTGATCCACCCACCTCAGCCTCCCAAAGTGCTGGGATTACAGGCATGAGCCACCAGGCCCAGCCCAGAATAAACTTCTTTAAAATATGTTGTAGAGCTTGGTTTTCTTGCTCACAGGCCTTTGCACCGGCTGTTCCCCTGCCTGGAATGTTCTTTCCTTGCTCCCTCCTTGTCATTTTGGTCCCACCCCAATGTCACCTCATCAGAGTTCTGTTGTAACCCCCAGCACCTCTCACCCTTAACTACGCACTTCTTCCATTATCCCACGGTATTTTCTGTTTAGCCAGAGGGCTTTATTTCCTGTCAGACTCCCCCATGGAATGGCCTGGGACCCTTCTCACTCAGCCCCCTAGTCTCACTGCCTCACCCAGGGCCTGCACACAGAACTCACAAGGGGCCAATGTCTTGGGGGACTCTGGGTGTCCAGGAGGTCATGGGCTCTGGGCTGGTAGAAACAGTTTCTGGGAGAGAGATTCCTGTGGAATAATAGCACTGCGCACTGTGGCACTCCTACTCCAGCCTCTGCAACTCTGATTAGCCAACGGGGAGACTAGGTGCAGACGAGGGAACAGACTTGTCCAGGGTCACTCAGCCAAGCAGACGCAAGGCCAAAGCCACAACACAGGTCTCCAAGGTACAATGATCACAATTAAAAACCATCACAATTAGCCAGGCACGGTGGTTCACGCCTATAATCCCAGCACTTTGGGAGGCTGAGGCGGGTGGATCACCTGAGGTTGGGAGTTCAACATCAGCCTGGCCAACACAATGAAACCCCCATCTCTACTAGAAGTACAAAAATTAGCCCGGTGTGATGGTGCACACCTGTAATCCCAGCTACTCGGGAGGCTGAGGCAAGAGAATCACTTGAACCCAGGAGGCGGAGGTTGCAGTGAGTCGAGATTGTGCCACTGCTCTCCAACCTAGGTGACAGAGCAAGACTCTGTGTTAAAAAAAAACACACACACACAATTAAAAGACAAGTTCTCAGGATATCTGTATGTACTACTTGCTTTCTTTCTTTCTTTCAAGACAGAGTCTTGCTCTGTTGTCTAGGCTGGAGTGCAGTGGCACGATCTTGACTCACTGCAACCTCCGCCTCCTGGGTTCAAGCAATTCTCCTACCTCAGCCTCCCGAGTAGGTGGGATTACAGGTGCCCATCGCCACACCCCCAGCTAATTTTTATATTTTAGTAGAGACGGGGTTTCACGATGTTGGCCAGGTTGGTCTTAAACTCCTGACCTTGTGATCTGCCCACCTCGGCCTCCCAAAGTGCTGGGATTACAGGGGTGAGCCACCACGCTCGGCCAGTATGTACTACTTTCTAGTGACTCACTTCACCCTCTCTCCAGACGGGGAGCATTTTTCTCCTAAATAACTAAATAATAAGAACAACCATCATGTGGCTGTTTACTCAAGCACTGAGCGAATTACAAGCACCATATCATCATTCCTCACACAACCCCGTAAAGCAAAAACTATTTTTAACCCCATTTTACGCATGAGGAAACCGAAGCTCAGGGGGCTTCAGCAACTTGCAGAACATCATGCACCAGGGAAGAGGCAAATCTTGCCTTTGGATCTGTCTAGTCTATCTCGAGATGCAGCCCTTCAACCACTATGATATCCTGGTCTGCTGCCCGGCCCTTGTGTCTCCTCTCCTGGTGCCAAGATCAATAGGGTTCTCTTTGATACCTGATGCCTTCTGGGCAGGACTCTGTGGCAGCCACTGCAGTGCCCTTCACCTTGGGAGCCCAATCTGGTCACTGGCTCAGAAAATTCCATAAACAGCAGGCTCAGTGGCAAGTATGGGGACACGTTCCCCATTTGTAGGCTAGCAACAGGCAGCTTTACTGCTGAAGGAAAGGAGTGGGGTGGGCATATTGTCACTAAAGGAAGCTGGGCGGTCACCAGCACTGGCTTTCTATGCGACAGTAACAATGATAATGATGACGATGATAGTAATAATAATAATAATAGCAGCTATTCATTTAACATTTCCTAAGTGCTAGGTACTATTTTAAACTTTGTTCATATATTAAACCAATTAATCCTAACAGTTGTAGGTGGAAAGAAAAATTAAAAATCTCGGGACCCCCCCCCCCCCCGCCACCAAACTTCTTATGCAAAAGGGACAGTTAAGCCCAGAAGCTGAGTCATTGCAACACCCTCTTCCAAATGAATAGCTGTTACATTATGCATCAGCCAGGTCCCCGTGGAAAGGTGGAAGGCCTCAGGCATCTGCAAAGGACTGCCCCCAAAGATCATTCAAAAGTGACCTTGGCTGCCCTCCCATAAACAAGGACGTGCCAAATGTAACTTTAGGTCTACGATCTAAATCAAGGTCTTTATTTTTATTTGAGACACGGTCTTGCCCTGTCACCCAGGCTGGAGTGCAGTAGCACGATCACAGCTGACTGCAGACTCATACTCCTGGAGTCAAGTGATCCTCCCACATCAGCATCCTGAGTAGCTAGAACTATAGGCACGTACCACAAGGCCCAGATAATTTTTCATTTTTTATTGTGGAGACAGGGGTCTTGATATGTTGCCTAAGCTGGTCTCAAACTCCTGGCCTCAAGTGATCCTCCTGCCTTCTGTCTACCAAAGTGTTGGGATTACAGGCATGAGCCACAGCACCAGCCTAAGTCTAGCTCTGATTCTACATTATAATAAGCTAATAACGTTGACTATAAGCTTATCTTCCCAGGTCCAGGACAAAGTCAAGACTCATTCTCCAACCACCCAGAGACATCCATAACTGACTCTTCCTTTACTCCTTTTTTCTCTTCATCATTCACCTTATCTTATGTAAAATGGAGATTTACCGGGCACTAAGGAAAGTCTCACAAGAGTATAAGCATTTGCCTTACCGCCTACCTGCCCCTCTTCCTACATGCCTTCCTCCTCTTTAAGAAAATGTATAAAGACTAAATTTCCTGAAAACCTCCTCGGAAAAGCAGCCTCAGATGTGTCTGTGGCTTATGTTTTTCCCAGACGTGCCCTGAAGCTGCCTTCATAAACCTCGATGATTGAGACTTATGCTTCAGTCACTCATTTCAGTTGTCATAGGGGACCAGAATACGCTATCCCAAAATATACCACTTTGGCATAAGGATTATTTTGAGCTGAAGGCAGTTGAGAAGAAGCAGATATAAGAAAAGCTCTCTGCCCTCCCTGTGTTTGCCTAAAAGCAGGACAGAAATTTGCAAAGCTGATCCCCTAAACCTCCAGCAGAAAGGACAGAAATTAATCACTGATAACTTTAAACCCTCATCAGCCCAAGGCACCAGAGGCATCTATATAACGAACTTTACTGGCTTCTATCAGCTTCCCCATATATTTACTTTCCACAATTTGCTGCCCTGGAAATTCAAAATCCTTTTCTTTGTCTTGTCCCTTGTCTAAAAAAATTTTTTTAAATGCTGTAAAGCCCAAGTTCTTTTTTTTTTTTTTTTTTTTTTTTTTTTTTGAGACAGAGTTGCGCTCTTGTTGCCCAGGCTGGAGGGCAATGCCGCGATCTCGGCCCACCACAACCTCCGCCTCCCAGGTTCAATTGATTCTCCTGCCTCAGCCTCCTGAGTAGCTGGGATTACAAGTATGCACCACCACACCAGGCTAATTTTGTATTTTTAGTAGAGACGGGGTTTCTCCATGTCGGTCAGGCTGGTCTTGAACTCCTGACCTCAGGTGATCCGCCCACCTCGGCCTCCCAAAGTGCTGGGATTATAGGCGTGAGCCATCATGCCCGGCCAAGCCCAAGTTCCAATCACCCCTTTGAGTTACTGAACTCCCAGCGCTTCCAAGTGTATGCACAGCTGCACTTAATAAATTAAGTATATGCACCTCATAAACTTCTGTTTGTTTTTCTCTTGTTAATCTTTCATTAGTTTATTTACAGGGCCGCAGCCAATGCACCTAAGACAAATAGCAGAAAAAGTGGGTTTTTTCCTCCCATGTATGGCAATCCTTTGTTATTATCTCTGCTTCACATATGGAGAAAACTAAGGCTCAGAAAGGTGGCGTCACTTGCCCGCTTGCTGCCCAGATTTTTTGGGCCCAGATGTTCTGGCTCCAAAGTCTGAGCTCCTTTCTCCCCATACAACCTACCACTGGGCTTCTTTCCTCATTTGAAATTGAGGGGCTCAGTCCTGAAGAACTCAGGTGCCTATCTTGATTCTCACTTTCAAGAGCAAGAACCAGACCCAGAAAAGTATTTTATTTCTCTGCTTTCCTTTATCCTGATTTCTAATAGTGTTTGTCAAACTATATTAATCATAGTCTGTTGCATTCTTGTACATGCCAGGCACTTGGCTAGGCAGTTTCCCTGCACTCTCTCTAGTGTTTCCAGCAATCCAATGAAGAAGCTTCTGTTATCCTGATTTTACGCTGAAGCATCCGAGACTCAGAAAGGTTCGGTAATTTGCCTAAGGTAACCCAGTGAAGAAGCCACTGGTGGGACTGCAGAGTCTAGAACTAACAGGCTTTTAACTACCACTCCTGCCTGCTTGCCTGTGTCTTCTCCCCACATTCCCACAGTGTCTGAGCTCCTCCAGAGGGAAAGGAAGGTGTTACCTGCACCTCCAGCTCTAGCAAGAGGCTGAGAAAATGCTAGATGGATTAATACTGAATTAACAAATAAGTAGATGAAAGGCAGGAAAGAAAAGGAGAAGAAAGAGAAAAAGAAAGGTAAAAATTAGGATGGAAGAAAGTAAAGAAGAAAAATGCAGTGAATGAATAAAATAAGAATGCATGAAGTTAAAAAAAAAAAGGAATAAAAACAAAAGATCGAGAAAATGAAACCAGAAAAAAGAACTAGATTAAAAGAATACCCAGGCAATCCGGTGCCCTGCTGGCTCTCTTTCTCATCAGGGGCTGCTGCCTCCCAGGCTCCCCACCAAAAGCTGCTTCCTGAGCCCTGGGAAGTGGCTGGGATTTTGCCAAACAGCAGTAATGCCCCCTTAGGCCAGGCACCAGGATCCCTAAGGTTGATGGCACGCCATAGGCAGAGGGAAGCAGAGCCTTCACATCCTGGCATCAGATTCCACCAAAAGATCCCTAGCTGCTGTCACTTGCAGGCAAGGAAGGGATTTTTCACAGCCAGGATGGGGATTACTGCTGCGGCGCTGCCTCCTCCAGCTCTGCAGAAAACAGTCATTCCTGCTGCACTGTCTGGTTGAGCTGCTGAAGAAAAGCCGACTTGCCTTCCAGCCCACCCACGCTCTCTTAACCTCCACTGTGAGCTCCGATTGAGCAATTCTCACATCCTTTCCCCCAGGGTCCAGACCTGCTTAGGGACACAATCCTTCTCAGAATGGCAGAAAAGCAAGCTCTGGGGGCCTTCAAGAAAGCCTCTAGGGCCACAGAACTGGGCATGACATCAGGACCCAAGACTGCCCCATCCCCAGTGTGCTGCTGCACCCTACTTTATTAAAGAGGCAGACAGGAGTGGAAGGAGAAATCCAACGTTCCTGGAGCCCCTGCCACCAAACCCAAGGCAGCCAGTCATCCTATTTTACAGAAGAGTCAAGTTGGAAATCTTAAGAGTCAGATTAGAACTGAGCAGCTCTCGCACCCCTAAACTGTGCCATGATTAGCTGAGGTAGTGCACTACAAAACCCTGGCCAAAGGATCCCTGAGCTGCAGGCGGAAGCCCCGGGGCTGTTCTGGGGCTTCTGCATCTCTGCTCCAAGTCCCTGGCACTCTGTTCTGCAAAACCTGCAACAGCAGAGCGGAGAGTTCTGGGCAGGAATTCCTGCTTCAAGTCCTCCAGGGCTCATCTCCCAGGGCCCCTTCTCCATAAAGCCTTTGAGATGCCTCCATCTGACTCATCCTCAACATTCTGAAGATGAGCTATTCAGCAAGGACTCTGTGCACCAGGCTCCTGGCAATCCTGGGAGATGGGTGTCACCAATCCTATCGTATAGATAATGACATCAACACTTAACAGGGTGAGAAAGCATGTCTAAGGTCACCCGGGCAGTACGGTGTGGAGCCAGCATTCAAATTTAGGTCTACTTAACCCTAAAGTCCATGCTCAAAGCTACTATGCCATGATGCCTCCAGGAGGTGTTTTAGCCTGTATATTTTTATATTTATAACATTCTCTTACTTCCTTAAGCTCTTTATTCAAATGTGACTTTTTTTTTTTTTTTTTGAGACAGAGTCTCACTCTGTTACCCAGGCTGGAGTGCAGTGGCATGATCTTGGCTCACTGCAACCTCCGCCTCCTGGGTTCAAGCGATTCTCCTGCATTCAAGCGATTCTCCTGCCTCAGCCTCCTGAGTAGCTGTGATTACAGGTGCCTGCCACCACATCCGGCTAATTTTTTGTATTTTTAGTAGAAACGGAGTTTCATCATGTTGGCCAGGCTGGTCTCGAACTCCTGACCTCATGTGACCTCATGTGATCCGCCCACCTTGAC
This sequence comes from Homo sapiens, assembly GCF_000001405.40. Lineage (NCBI taxonomy): Eukaryota > Metazoa > Chordata > Mammalia > Primates > Hominidae > Homo > Homo sapiens. The sequence goes on from NC_000022.11 coordinate 33,039,661, forward strand.
CTCCCAAAATGCTGGGATTACGGGCGTGAGCCACCGCGCCTGGCCTCAAATGTCACCTTTTTAAAGATGGTAGCCCTCCTCTCAACACCCCTCTCTCTTTCCCTGTATTTTCTCTGTCATACCCATTATCTAACATATTATATATTTACTTTTGTAGTGTATTACTTCTGTGCCCTTTCAACTTGTATGTGACCTAAACAAAGACAGGGATTTTTGCTTATTTTTTTCACTGTCATACATCCAGCACCTACCAGAAAGTGTTAGCTCATAGTAGATGGTCAAAAGATATTTGTGAAACAAAAAACCTGAGTGGCTCCATCTCTTGTATTATCACTGGTTTCTTAGATGTCTCTAGATTATACACTTTTTTTTTCTTTTTTTTTTTGAGATGGAGTCTCCCGCTCTGTCGCCCAGGCTGGAGTGCAGTGGCGCGATCTCGGCTCACTGCCCGCCACCACACCCAGCTAATTTTTTTTGTATTTTTAATATATATTTTTTGTATTTTTAATAGAGATTTTTGTATTTTAATAGAGATCCATGTTAGCCAGGATGGTCTCAATCTCCTGACCCCGTGATCTCCCGCCTCAGCCTGATTATACACTTTTTAAGGACAGGGATCCTACCAAATTCACCTCCATTCAGCCCCATAACAGAGAAAATGAGTTTATTCTGAGAGTGTGGACGAATGAAAGGGATGCTTTGACCCTCCCTTAATCTCTCTCAATCCCTAGCTCAAACATGCATCATGCCTTTCATGGACCACAGCAAAACTATGCATCCACTGCTCTCCATGCATCCAATTAGTTCTCCTTCAAATCCACTTCCATATCACTGACTGTCACATTTTTTTCAAACGTAAGTTTAACCACATCATTCCCTACTGAAACACTACAGTTGCTCCTCGATATATGTCTGATATGGTTAGGCTTTGTGTCCCCACCCAAATCTCATCTTGAATTGTAACTCCCATATCCCCCATAATCCCCATGTGTCAAGGGAGAGACCAGGTGGACGTAATTGAATCATGGGGGTGGTTTTTCCCATACTGTTCTCGTGATAATGAGTGAGTCTGACAACATCTCATGGTTTTATAAGCGTCTGTCATTTCCCCTGCTTGCACTTCTCCTTCATGCTGCCTTGCGAAGAAGGTGTTTGCTTGCCCTTCCACCATGATTGTAAATTTCCTGCGGCCTCCCCAGCCATGCTGAACTGTGAGTCAATTAAACCTCTTTCCTTTATAAATTGCCCAGTCTTGGGTATGTCTTTTTTTTTTGAGACAGAGTCTTGCTCTGTTGCCAGGCTGGAGTGCAGTGGCATGATCTCGGCTCACTGCAACCTCCAACTCCCTGGTTCAAGCGATTCTCCTGCCTCAGCCTCCCGAGTAGCTGGGATTACAGGCATGCGCCACCATCCCCAGCTAATTTTCTTTTGTATTTTTAGTAGAGATGGGTTTTCACCATGTTGGCCAGGATGGTCTCGATCTCCTGACCTCATGGTCTGCCTGCCTCGGCCTCCCAAAGGGCTGGGATTACAGGCGTGAGTCACTGGGCCCAGCCTGGGTACTCCTTTATTAGCAGCATGACAGTGAACTAATACAATGTCCAAAGCTCCCATGTAGCACTAGGAACTCTTTCTTTTTTTTTTTTTTTGAGACGGAGTCTTGCTCTGTCGCCAGGCTGGAGTGCAGTGGCGCGATCTCGGCTCACTGCAAGCTCCACCTCCCAGGTTCACGCCATTCTGCTGCTTCAGCCTCCCGAGCAGCTGGGACTACAGCTGGGTGCCCGCCACCACACCCAGCTAATATTTTTTTGGATTTTTAGTAGAGATGGGGTTTCACCGTGTTAGCCAGGATGAGTCTCGATCTCCTCACCTTGTGATCCGCCCGTCTCGGCCTCCCAAAGTGCTGGAATTACAGGCATGAGCCACCATGCCCGGCCTGCACTAGGAACTCTTTCTAACCTGTGCCAGCTTCATCTCCCACTAGGGCATCCTTGCACAGTAGCTCACTGACACTTATCCTCTTACCTGCCATGCATGTCATGCCTCTGCACATGCTGTGTCTGCTTCCTGGAATGCCATCCTTTTTCATTCACTCCAAAATCCCTCCCCACCCCATTGGATTAATGAGCTCCAAGCATCTTTCAAAACCCAGCTCAGATATTAGCTTGCTCAGGAAGCCTCCCAGGTACTCCCTCTCTCCCCCTGCCAAAGGAAAGCTCAAACCTCTCTCCCAGATCATGCTGTACTCCTGCATTACCTGGAGGACTGCTGTGCAGCAAACTAAACCACTCAGCTGCTAAGGACTGAATGTGTGTGTCCCCCAAATTCATATGTTAAAACCGCAATCCCTAACGTGATGGTATTTAGAGATGAGGCCTTTGGAAGCTGATTAGGTCACAAGGATAGAGCCCTCATGATGGGGTTAATGCATTTACAAGAAAAGACACAGAGGTCGTTTCCTCTCTCATCTGCAAACCAGGAAAAAGGGCCCTCAAGCAGAACCTGACCAGTCTGGTACCCTGATCTCAGACTTCCCAGCCTCCCGAACTGTCTCTTGTTTAAGCTACCCAGTCTGTGGTAGTTTATTATAACAGCCCAAACTGACTAAGAGCCAACACAGTTGAGAACTTGGAAATAAAAGTGTGGGGGTCAGGGGCAGGAAAGGCCCCCAGACCCACCTGTCTACAGCACCTCTCTCTAAACCTTACAAAAAGAAGCAAAGCCCTTTAGTCACATGATTCTTCCTTAGTAAACAATACACGTATATTTCATCATTTGTTTTCCCAGACTTTAGCCAAACGGACGTGGTAAATCAGAAAGAATCTTGCTGGAAGAAAGTACACTGGCTGCTTGAAGAGAAAGTGGAGAGAAAGATTTTGAAGAGCTCTAAAAACATAGTAATCCAGGGCCCTTTCTCGTAACAGCAAACAGTCTCACATAGAACAACCACTCTAAAGGGCAGTTGACACTGGGTCCCACCTGCTCCTGTCCCCAGCATGCTGCTGCACCCTACTTTATTAAAGAGGCAGCCAGGAGTGGAAGGAGAAATCCGACGATCCTGGAGCCCCCCGCCACCCAATCCAAGGCAGCCAGTCATCCTATGTAACAGAAGAGTCAGGTTAGGAATCTTGAGTAGGAGTCAGGTTAGAACTGAGCAGCTCTCCCACCCCTAAACTGTGCCATGATTAGCTAAAGTAGTGCTCCATGAAGCCCTGGCCAAAGGATCCCTGAGCTGCAGGTGGAAGCCCTGGGGATGTTCCGGAGCTTCTGCCTCCCTGCTCCCATGATATTCTCACACTTCCTACTGCTCTTTCAAGTCTCACAGGCCATATACCCTTTTGTTATTAACCAGACAAGAAGGAAGAAAAATAGAAAGTTTCAACCCAAGGACTAACATCAAAAAGAAAAATCTTTAGAACATAAAAGTGTATTATTGAAATAGTCCTTACTGGGACTAACTCTAAGAATACCACATAAGCTAGTGACTGGTCTATAGTAAGTACCTTATGTATGTTGTTGCTGCTGCTACTGCTTCTCCTCCTTCTCATACTCTAAAGATGCCCCTACAAGGTTAGTGCGGCATACTGTTTAAAAGCACAAGCAAGAGCTGGGCACAGTGGCTCACGCCTATAATCCCAGCAGTTTGGGAGGCCGAGGTGGGCGGATCACCTGAGGTCAGTAGTTCAAGACCAGCCTGGCCAACATGGCGAAACCCCGTCTCTACTAAAAATACAAAAATTAGCTGGGTGCGGTCACGGGCACCTGTAATCCCAGCTACTGAGGAGGCTGAGGCAGGAGAATGGCTTGAACCCGGGAGATGGAGGTTGGAGTGAGCTGAGATCACGCCATTGCACTCCAGCTTGGGCAACAAGAGTGAAACTCCATCTCAAAAAATAATAATAATATAATAAATAAAAGCACAAGCCATGAAGTCAAAACTACCTGGGTTAATATCCCAGCAATTCTGTTTCTTAGCTCTGTTACATTGGGCCAGTCATTCATCCTTCTGTGTCTTTGTTTGCTCATCGTAAAACAGAGATAATAATTCTAACTCGTCCATAAGCTTGTGGTGAGAATTAAGTGAATTAAGCCACATAAAGTGCATTGAACTGGGTCAGGCGCAGTGGCTCACGCCTGTAATCCCAGCACTTTGGGAGGCCGAGGCAGGCAGATCATGAGGTCAAGAGATCGAGACCATCCTGGCCAACATGGTGAAACACCGTTTCTACTAAAAATAGAAAAATTAGCTGGGCGTGGTGGTATGCACCTGTAGTCCCAGCTACTCGGGTGGCTGAGGCAGGAGAATCGCTTCAACCTGGGGGGCAGAGGTTGCAGTGAGCCGAGATTGTGCCACTGCACACCATCCTGATGACAGAGTGAGACTCTGTCTCAAAAAAAAAAAAAAGTGCATTGAACTATGCTTTGCACACAGTGAGGATGCAACAACCTAGCAGTTAGGCCACAGGAAGATGTGGCTGCAGCATGCTCGAAAAGTGGGCAGGATGATGTACAAAAAGAAGATGTGGAGTCTGTGAGCTTCAACGCAGGCCCAAAGCGGTACTAGGTACAGTGCGTTCTTCCACCAATCTTCTGCCAACACACCACCTCCAGCCAGCTGGTTCACTGTAGCAGTAGCTTTCCTCAAACATGCCTAGTCACGTGAGACTTTGACAGCACAACAGACATTCTGTCCACGTGGCTCTTGGACTGCCTGGTGTATTTCACCATGGCAGGCCCCCTGTTAATAACTGAGGAGCTGATGAATTGCTTCAATCACTTTAGACTCACAGACTCATTGAGCACAGGAGGTCAAGTGACTCCCATCCCATCCCTAAACAGACACGTGCTCTTTGATCAATCCTCATCACCTCACCCAACATAAGCTTATTCTAGCCTCTAGCCATTCTCTAACCTTATTCCAGACCTTCGCTTCTGCTTGTGCCTCTGCCTGGTTGTCATTTCTCCAACTTTCTCCAAGTCGGAATTCCTACTAAATGCTGAAATCCCATTTCAAACATCACCTTTTCTGTGAACTCTCCCCAGCTCCCCCTAGGGTTTCTCATAGTGGTTTCAACCAATCACCTACACAGAATTATTTCTGGTGCTTGCTAACTACAGGTCTCCTACTTGAGGGATCAGGGCCTAGCCACCTGCATTTTTAACAACCTTCCCAGATGATTCTTCTTTTTTTTTTTTTTTGAGATGGAGTTTCGCTCTTGTTGCCCAGGCTGGAGTGCAATGGCATGATCTCGGCTCACCACAACCTCTGCCTCCCGGGTTCAAGCGACTCTCCTGCCTCCGCCTCCCAAGTAGCTGGAATTACAGGCATGTGCCACCACACCCGGCTAATTTTTGTACTTTTAGTAGAGACAGGGTTTCTCCATGTTGGTCAGGCTGTTCTCGAACTCCCAACCTCAGGTGATCTGCCCGCCTTGGCCTCCCAAAGTGCTGGGATTACAGGCATGAGCCACCGCGCCCAGCCCCAGATGATTCTTAAATACATTACAGTTTGAAAGCAGCTGTCCAGACAGCTAGCCTTGCAAACCTGACACTTAGTAATTTGGCCCTCACCTCTGCTCCCCTGATACTTTGCACATGACCTGTGACAGCACACCTGGCTGTGTTCCAGGTGAACTGCTTAGAGTAAATCTCCTCTCTCCAGACTGGGAGCCACTTGAGGATAGAAACCTTGCCTGATTTATATTTAAATTCTCAACATCTCCAGGTATGTTACTACTCTCACCGTCTCTTTTCCCTCATATTCCACATCTCATTCATCAACCAGGTGGCTCTACTTTCTTTTTTTTTTTTTTTTTTTTTTTTTTGAGATGGAGTCTCGCTCTGTCGCCCAGGCTGGAGTGCAGTGGCATGATCTCAGCTCACTGCAAGCTCTGCCTCCCGGGTTCATGCCGTTCTCCTGCCTCAGCCTCTCCTGGGACTACAGGCGCCCGCCACTACACCCAGCTAATTTGTTTGTATTTTTAGTAGAGACAGAGTTTCACCGTGTTAGCCAGGATGGTCTCGATCTCCTGACCTTGTGATCCGCACACCTCGGCCTCCCAAAGTGCTGGGCCTACTTTCAAAAAAGAAATTCTTTTTTAACCACTTCTCACTTCTTTCACCCCAAGGACCTTAGTCTAGCCCATCATCATCTCTCCCCCATTAACTACCACAATGACCCACTCACTGATCCTATAGCTCCCACCTTTCCCCCACTATGGCTCTCTTAATACACAGCATTCAGAATGATTCTCTAAAAACATGTCAAATATTTGCAAGTCACATATCCAAGAAAGTACTGGTATATAAAGAATGCTAAAAGCTCAACAATAAAAAAAGCAATTAAAAAAAAAAACAAAAAACGTGTAATAGACCTGAACAGACACTTCGCCAAAGAGAATATAGGAATGGTAAATATACACTTGAAAAGATATTCAACATAATTAGCAAATTAGGGAAATGCAAATTAAACCATTGAGATAGCACTAAACTATAAAGACGGCTAAAATAAAAAATACCAACCACGCCAACTACTGATTCCAATGCAGAGCAACTGGAACTTTCATACGTTGTTGATGGAAATGCAAAATGACATGGCCACTCTAGAAATTAGTTTGGAAGTTTCTTATAAAGTTAAATGTAAACTTAGCACATATCCTAGCAATCCAACTCTTGGGTATTTACCTTAGAGAAGCAAAAACTCACATCCACACAAAAACCTAAATACAAATGTTTATAGCAGCTTTAGTCACAATCCTTAAAAACTAGAAACAACCTGGCTGTGTGCAGTGGCTCACACCTGTAATCCCAGCACTTTGGGAGGCCGAGGCAGGCGGATCACAAGGTCAGGAGTTCGAGACCAGCCTGTCCAACATGATAAAACCTCGTCTCTACCCAAAATACAAAAAATTAGCTGGGCGAGGTGGAATCCCAGCACTTTGGGAGGCCGAGGCAGGTGGATCACGAGGTCAGGAGCTCGAGACCAGCCTGGCCAACATGGTAAAACCCTGTCTTTACTAAAAATACAAACAAATTAGCTGGGTGTGGTGGCAGGCATCTGTAATCCCAGCTACTCGGGAAGCTGAGGCAGGAGACTAGCTTGAAGCTGGGAGGCGGAAGTTGCAGTGAGGTGAGACCACACCACTGCACTCCAGCCTGGGCAACAGAGCAAGTCTCTGTTTAAAAAAAAAAAAAAAAAAAAAAAAAATCCAAACTCCTTTCCACAGCCCATGAGTTCCCACCAGGCCTGGCTTTGGGAACCTCTCTGAAGACATCTTCTCCAACTCTCCCTTCCCCCACCTCTTACCTGTCCTGAGGTCCATCTGCTGTTCTCTCTGCCAGGTACTCTTTTCTACAGGTATTTCCAAAACTCACTCCCAAACATCACGGCTCTACTGAAATATTTACTCCTTACACAGGTCTTCTTTAACTGACTTTTCTATAATAGTATCTATAATAGTATTTCCCTCATACTGTTTCGTTTTTCTTCATGGCACTCATTACTAAGTGGCATCATATAATATATTTGTTTTGTGGTTATTTTCTACCTTTCCTCTGAGAATATAAGATGCATGAGGGTAACCTTATCTGTACTAGTCACCAATACATCCCCAGCACTTAGAATCTGCCTATCACAGGATTAAAACTCCATAATATTTGTTGAATGAATGAATGAGCACACCCAAGAGACGAACACTCAATAATGAAACTCCCAATGCTTTCAACGTGGAGCCATACTTTGACTCAAAAATTTCTTTGTATCACCCCTCAAATCACCTGCCTACGTGGCCCCTGAGTAAAGCAGTCCTAGCCCCGAACATTTAATTCAGCTGTTGGTGCTTTCAAAAAATGTGTTAAGTTCAACATCTCCCTTCTAAGTGCAGCTTTCTGGTGCTTGATTAGAAAACTGGCAGGAGGTGCCAGGCTATAAGGACAGCATTCTTAGAGTAATGTCATGTGGGGTTTCCTGAGGGCTTGCAGAAAGCTATCCAGAAGTGCCACTAATGTGAACAAAGAAGTTTGAGGTAAGATTGAAGAAAGAAAAAAAAAATAATAAAAACACCTCTCTGTAACACCTTTCCAAGGAGAATGAATACATGAGCATTTACAGAACACCTGCTCTACAGGTTCCTGGCACTCTGAGGGTTCTCTCTTAATCCTCTTATCCTTCAAGGTTAGACCTATTAGTCCCATTTTCATGTGCAAAAAAAAAAAAAAAAAAAAAAGGAACCAACACAGAGAGGTTAGGTAACATGACCGATGTCACACAGCGATGTCTGGCATTTTGAACTCAGGTCTGTGTTGCCTTCAACTCCATTCTTTTTCCACTTTGGACTTTAGAAGCAATATTCAGGGGCATGAGAATGAATACTGTCCGGAGGAGGCAGGCAGAACATGCCAACCTCAAGTAGAAAACACCGACCAACACCTGGACACTAGTGGCCAGTTTCTTCTCTAAAATGTTTCAAAGACCAGCATGGACCAGTCTGCTGAAGCAATATGCTGATTACCTTCCAGCAAATATTACTGAACACCTACCATACAGCAACATTTCCTGGGCTGGAGGTTTCCACATATATTATCTCATTTAATTTTCATTATTGTTAAAAAAAAAACTATTAACGTGATATAATTTGGATGTTTGCCTTCTCCAAATAGCATGAGGGTATGGCAACACTGCATCTTATTCATTCTTTAGGTTCTAAACCCATAGTATGGTGTGAAAATCATGTGTAGCTAAAAATACCCTCAAAAATATTTTTGAAATGTGATCCCCAGTATTGAAGGTGGGGCCTGCTGGGAGGTGTTTTGGTGATGGGGGTGGATCCCTCATGAATGGCTTGGTGTCCTCCCCTTGGTGATGAGTGAGTTCTTGCCCTATTAGTTCACACAAGAGTTGGTTGTTAATAGGAGCCTGGCACGTACTCCTCTCTCTGTTGCTCTCTCTCTCACCATGTGATATGCCTGTTACCCCTTCGCCTTCTGCCATGAGTTAAAGCTTCCTGAGGCCTCACCAGAAGCTGAGCAGATGCTGGTGCCATGCTTGTACAGCCTGCAGAACCTTGAGCCAAATAAACCTCTTTTCTTTATAAATTACCCAGTCTCAGGTATTCCTTAATGGCAATGCAAAATGGACTGAAACAACATGTATGAAGGTATTAGAGGCTGTTTATCCAAACTGAATGACGGAAACCTTGCAAGCAAATACATACTCCTAAGAATTCCCTCTCCTTCACCCCATGCCCTAGAGATTTGACAGTTACCTTAAAAACAGAGCAGCATGAAGATGCAGACAACTTCTTTTTTGACCTTCTTTTTCTACTTCTTTTGCTGTAGGCCAGAGTTTTGCACACTGGATAGCACAGGGAATTACTATTCAGGGTTTCATACACAAAAACCATGTATAATGCAACTTTCTGACCATTAAAATATATTTAGGGTATTTTTGGCTACACATGATTTTCACACCATACAATGGGTTTAGAGCCTAAAAAATGAGTAAGACACAGTGTTGCTGTACCCTTAGCTTCCTCTAATTTACTCCCGCTTGATAGATAATCAAGAAATGTTAGCTCTAGAAAGGAAGTTACAGATTGCCAAGTTCCACTCCTTGCCAGGGCTTCAATGATGACAGGGCCTTGGAAGGTGGGCTCCCCCTGCTGGACAACTCCACTACCAGCACGTTCTTCCTCTATCTGCTATCGGCTTTTCTCCAAATTCCACTGCTGCAGCTAGCTTTGCCCTCCAGCCCTGCAGAATAATTATAACTCCTCTTTCCTATGATAATAATTTGAATTTCTGAAGCCTGTTATTTGGGTGAGACTTTCTTAATGCTATAGTGATCATGAAAAGGGTCAAGTATCTGCACTGTGCTTTTTAATAACCACGGGATGGTTTTTATTCTGGGTGCTCGTCCAAGCTATTGATACCCGCCTCCCCATTAGGCAGCTCCACCAATTAATTAAATTCAATATTTTGGGAGCTACGCTCTGGAAGCATGCCTCTTAGTCGGGAAGACAAAGAACAAAAACCACACGGCATGTGGCAACTACTCTTACAGTGGCACAGATTCGGTGCCAGCCGCACGCAGGAGGAAAGGGTCAGGGTCTCAGCCCATCCATTGGGAAGGACTGCTAACCTGTGAGCTAGAAGACCCCAGGAAACACAGCCTGAGCCTGCTCAAGGAAAGTGACCAGGTCTCATACTCAGCTTGCCTGTTGCCCTCTGTGTCTCAGACACCAGCCACAAAGCCAAGCAGAGGAGGTTTTCCATAAGCCTACTCCAATCTTTTGGCACTGGAAAGGGGCCTGGAGGTGAGAATAACTAAATGCAACTCACTCACCCCATGTGTCTCAAATGAATGAGTGTTGTTGTTTTATTTTTTCTTAAAAAAAAAAGTTATAAAAATACAACTCCAAACACCTAAGACAGGGAGTCTTTGTGTCCATTTCTTCCCATCTGTCAACTCATCAAGTGACATGAAACAAATCCCCTAACTTCTGTGGACCTCCATTTTCTCAGCTACAAATTGAGGGGCTTGGCCAGGCACAGTGGCTCACACCTGTAACCCCAGCAGTTTGGGAGGCTGAGGCAGGTGGATCACTTGAGGTCAGGAGTTCAAGACCAGCCTGGCCAACATATTGAAACCCCATCTCTACTAAAAATACAAAAAATTAGCCGGGCGTGGTGGTGCACGTCAGTAGTCCCAGCTACTCGGGAGGCTGAGACATGAGAATCTCTGAGCCTGGGAGGTGGAGGTTGCAGTGAGCTGAGATCATGCCACCGCACTCCAGCCTGGGTGACAGAGCGAGACTGTTTCAAAAAAAAAAAAAAAAAAAACAAAACAAAGCAAAACAAATTGAGGAGCTTGATCCAAAGAACTGTAAGATCCCTTTCAGAACCAGGGTCCTCCAATCTTCTGTGGTCCCAGACAGTGAGTGGATAAGCTACAGTGACCTGGCTGAGCTAGTTTATCTCAAAACCAGCACATGACTTCTAGTACAGAAACAGCATGCAAGGAAACAAAGGCAGACAAAAGATTCCTGCTCCAGCCCCACCATTATCCTGCCATGGATCCCTCCCTCAGTACATCTGCCTGCACAGCTCTAAATACCAGCCCTGCCACTGAGCAAGTGGATCATCTTGGACAAGTCACTCAACCTCCTTTAGCCTTGATTTGCACATCTGCAGAGTGGGGTTAATTTTACCCACTACCAGCGCAGCTCGGATGATGAAATAAATTAAAACCCGTATAAAGCACCCAGTACCTAGAGGACATATGCCGTGTATCCCTTTATTCAAACATTCTTTACCCACTGAGCCCACTTCATCAACATATTCAAATTCCAAAGGCTTATAGTAATCTGAAGCCCAGGTGGCCAGACCTAGAAGGGCTGCAAAAATCAGCAAGTCCAACTCCTTTCTACCTCTGCGATTTACAAGGGAGAGAACTGAGGCTCAGAAACGTTCGGTGACTTGCTCAAGGACCTACATCAGCAAGCCTGGCCTAGAACACAGGGTGGCAAACACCAAGGACCACACAAGACACAAAGATAACCCTTTGTAGGCCTCATTCTCCAAAATTGAGAACCCATCACTTATAACCCAATTCTGAAAAATTAAAAATAGAAAAATTTTCTATTTCTGTATATCTTTGGAGGACCGCAAGAGATAGCCAGGATCGCAGTGTGTCTATGAAAGGCAAGGATTTCTTGAATTACTTATGAAATGAAGGTCAGTGGTTCTTGCTAGCAGTTTTCCTCAGCTGCTCTGCTCCCCTCTCCCTTCCCCACATCTACTCATTTCAGTTTACATCTTGAGGCACACATGCCTACATTGGGACCCTTTCTGGACAAGGTGAGAAGTTTTAGGTAGAGGCAATAATCCATTTCCCATTAAACACAAACAAAAAAAAAATCACAGTTACACTATCCATAATACAAAAAGAATTCCTCTCCTCACCCCTAAGAGCCCCAGCCTGGGACACCTAGAAAAGTGCCCAAATACATTAAGGCACACAAACAACCAAGGGTCAGGGACCCAAAGGTCCCCCCAAATGACATGATCAAAATCCATGAGACCATTCAAGAGTCTCTGGAGAAACCTCAGCCCAGATTCTACAAGGGCCACTGGACTGAGCCGGAGTGCTCTAGAGGGAGCTCAGACAATATAAGGAGGAACCAGATTAGAAGTGGTTTCAGAGATACAGGGATAACCTGACGAGCTCCCCTCCTGCCCAGATTCCCAAAAGAAAGCGTGTATCTTCAGGGAGTATCTGACAGAAAGCTACACCAAGAACACGCTTCCTTGTAGCTCCTGGTGAGCACACTCCCTAGACAGTGTCTGCTAAAACTTGGATTAGGAAGGCCCTAATCCAAGCCTCACATCGTGCACTTTGGCAAACAGACCCAGAGAGGGAGACCATCCTGCCCAAGCTCATATCACAAGTCAGCGGCAGCCACTGGCTTGAGCTTGCACCTGACCTTCAGTCTAGAGCTAGTCCTCCCCGCACCCCACGGCTCCTTCCCACCAGGCCCACTCCCTCTTCCAAAACCTTGGGCTCACCTCCTGGTTCTAAGGATTCTGCCAGGTTGAACAATGCTCAGAAGCAGGTGGCAGTTTAGCAATTCATTCAGAGGGACCTGGGGCTGTGCCCGTCCCCGGTGGCAAGGAGAGACTGCAGTAAGAGACTGCAGTGTGGAACTTTGAAATCTCTTCTCTAAAGAATCCTCCTCCTCCTCCTCTTCTTTCTCCTCCTCCTCCTCCTTCTCCTCCTCCGTAGTACTACGGACACATGTGCTCTGTTTGGGAGGAGGAAAGGAGGAGAGTATGGATGTGTAAGGAGAGTGTGGATGTTTGTTGGAAGGAGAAGGGCAACAATCTGCAGGGCCCTGCTGTATACTCACACCTAGCAGAAGAGGAACAAAAAAAAAAAAAAGAGAGAGAGAGAGCTCTAACTGCTTCCACAAAATTATTAACCCTTGTGCTCCAGCTCTGCTCCTCAAATAGCTGAAGCAAGAGAAACAATACACTTAACCAATGGAGCACCAGCCAAAGACATTACATCATCGGTCAGCACCGTCATTGGCTAATAATTCCTAGAAGGCAAAATTCTGCTTCTAGGTGCTTAACCCTTTCATGCTCATCAGAGCAAAGAGGATTTGGTCTAAACCAATGGTTCCTGAACTTGCTTTTATCAGAATCATCCAGGATGCTTTCTAAACATACAGATCATCATTTTTCATTTCAACCCATCTAAATCAGAACCTACAAAGGGAGCATGGATAGCTGTATTATAAATAGTGTACAGAGTGTGGCAACCACTGATCAACTCAGAAAGTCTTCCTCTCCAAACAAGATAACATTTTTCTGAGCATTTTTCATGTATCCAACACTTTGCTACATCATCTCATTTATTTCCTGCACTGAACAATGGCTCCATATCCCAAGTATAAAAAGTCAGGTTAAGAGAGGCTGAGTCGGCCGGGCGCAGTGGCTCACACCTGTAATCCCAACACTTTGGGAGGCCGAGGTGGGTGTATCACCTGAGATCAGGAGTTCGAGACCAGCCTGACCAACATGGTGAAACCCCGTTTCCACTAAAAATACAAAAATTAGCCGGGTGCGGTGGCGGGTGCCTATAATTCCAGCTACTCCGGAGGCTGAGGCAGGAGAATCACTTGAACCCAGGAGGCGGAGGTTGCAGTGAGCCAAGATCACGCCATTGCACTCCAGCCTGGGCACAACAGAGCGAGACTCCGTTTCAAAAAAAAGGATAAGTCAGTTGAGCAAGAGATGGAGCCTTGCTTTGAAAGACAGGCTGTTGGGACCCGACCTTGCTACCCTTTTGAAGCTCCCGCTTGAAGTCAAACCAAGCCTTTTATTTACTTATTGCCTCTAGAGTTACAGAAAACATAGACTCTCTTGATGAGTTGGAGAATGCCAGGAACCTGGGAGGAACGGGGAAATGAAGACAATGGTGGATTATTCTCTTTCTTGGGCTAATTCCCTCTGCTTCTGTTACAAATTCAGCTTAAACATCACTATCTCTTGGAAGCCTTCCCCAACCACCCGCCAACCCCCAAACCAGGGATAGATGCCCCTGCTCTGTGATCTTAAGGTCTCCTGGAGTTGTGGGCTGCAGTTTCCTGTTTACTGGATAAACTCCATGAGATTAGAGCCATGTCTACTTTCTCCACTAACATAAACCTGGACAGTGCCTGCCACGTGTGAATACTCAATCATGACCAAAAGATTTGGGAGAGAAAGTGTTTGCCGAAGTTCTAAATGGCATCACACTGAGATGGGAAAGACAAAGGATTGGAAGTCTGGAGACTCACAGGAACGAACTGATTTTGGGCAAGTTCGTTTGGACACGGGAGAGGGGGTTGGTGTCCTTATCTAAAAATGAGGACAATCGCATCTCCTATGAATAGTTATAAAGATCAAATTAAAGAATGATCCAAAGCTCTGATTTTCTCCTCCTCTCTCTCTCACACTCGAACTCATCCATTTTATTGGCTGACATCTAAGTGCTGACAACTGCCATATTTATATCTCCAGCCCAGACTCCCCTCCTCGACTCCAGACTCACAGCCAATTCCTGTCTCTATGTGGATGTTTTACGGGCATCTCCAAGAGGGTATTTGAATTGTATCCTCTAAGCACAACCTGCTCCTCGCCTAGTCTCTGTTATGTGAATAGTGCTCCCATCCACCCAACTTTTGTTTGTTTGTTTTTTTAATTAGGTGAAATTTACATAACTAAAAGCTAGCCATTTTAAACTAACAATGCGTGGCATTTACTATCCTCATGATGATGTACAAACTGTCGCCTCTATCTAGTTCCAAAACATTTTCATCACCTCAAAAGGAAACCACTTAGCCATTAAGCAGTCAAGCCCCAGTCCCACTTCCCCCTCAGATCAGCACAAACACCAATCTGTTTTCTGTCTCTATGGATTGACCTATTCTGGATGCTTCACATAAAGGGAATCATACACTATGTAACCTTTTGTGTCTGGCTTTTAAACCACGTTTTCACATAGCATTTTTAAGGTTCATCCACATTGCAGCATGTATTAGTACTTCACTCCTTGTTATGGCTGAGTAACATTCTATTGTATGTTATACTACATTTTGTTTATTCAGTCACTTACTGATGGAGCTGCCAGACTTTCAGTAGCCAACCAATCTGAAACCATAAGGCTGGCCACCATCCTTCATCCCCACCCTTTTCCCATATTCCCTGCATTTAAAGTATCAGCAAGTCCTGTCCATTTTGCTTCCTAAATAGAGCTCAAACCCTTTTACTTTTCTCCAACACTATTGCTGTCCTCTAGCCCAGACACCAATATATATCTCACTGAGCTTCCAACTGTGACAAGATCTTTCTTCTCTCTATTCCACTTCTCACCTGGAAGCTGAGATTGACTCCTTTTAAAACATAAACCAGATCATCCATTCATTTAAGCACTATTTACTAAGCACCTTTCTTCAAGGAGTTCTCCTCCCAGAGGCATAACAGACAACACACAAATATACACTATCACATCAGGCTTAAAATCCTTCAATGATTCGTTTGTTGCACTTTAGATAAAAATGTAAGCTCAGCATGGCCTCCAAGACTCCACTGCCTTCAAACTCATCTCGGGCCACTCCACACAATTTGCCCACTATGCGCTCCAACCACAATAGCCTCCATTCCTCCACCTCGCGGTCTTTGAATAAGCTGTTCTCTCTGCCTCTTGATCTTGGCGTTGCCGGATCTTTCTCATTCCCCAGATCTCAGTGTAAATATCACTACTTTGGGAGACCTTCCCTGACTACACTGTTAAGCACATCCACCCTTCATTCATTTCACTCATTTAAGAAATATGTGCTAAACCCTGTGGTAGGCTCTTGGGATGAAGCAATGTATGATCCCCTGGAGTCTGCAGTCTAAAGGGGAGGACCAACAATAGGAAAGTAAATAAAATAGATAAATGACTGTTACGAAGGGAGAATAAAAGGGAGGGAGTACAGAAGGCCTTTCCAAGAAGGTTATATTGAAACTGAAGGCAAGGAGTCAATTGGACAAAGAGCCTGTTATTCTCTATCACATACTGGCTATGCAATGCAATGTTCCACCCCTCAACACTTGCTTTTGATGAATCCAAGCATTTAATGTCTATCTCCTCTAATAGACTGAGCTTTCTCCCCATCACCTAGGATAGCGCCTACTCCTTAAGAGACACTCAATACACATTGATTGATTAATTAGTGGATGAATGAATGATTAATCAATCAATCCACCAATGAAAGCACTTTGGAAAGTGTAACAAATCATAGAGTTGTGAGTGATTGTTATTATTATAATTATTATTTTGTGGCAAAAGAACATCAACTTGGTTGGGTTTTGGAAGAGACTGGGTTTACTATAAAATGAGAATAAAAGTACCTAAGTTGGAGTATTATTGGACAACTAGAAGAGAATGTATATACATAATAGACACTCAAAAAAGGGAAGCAGTAGTCTTCGTGGCTATTATTATTAAAAGCTCCTCACAAAAGCTGACTCAACTCGAATTCCAAAACTCATTTTCAGGTGCAGTCATGAAACTTAAAGGTGAGAGAAATGAATACTTTTAAGATATCTACTATGCACCAGGCACAGTACAAAGCACTACTTCATTTGTGAGGTAGTGTAGTGGATACCGTGGGGAAATGCTCAACTCCCCCTCCAAGACCAAGACACTCATGACTTCCCCATGTCCAGCTGCCAGAGTGTTGGTTACCCCAGCTCCCAGGTGAGTCCCTAGTCAGGAACTGTCCTGCTGAAGGGACATCCTAGCTCCCTCCCTAGGACCAGCCTGCACCCACTGGCTGATCAACATTAAGCTTCAAAGGCCTCGTCTCTTTGTCTCATGGGAGGGATTGAGACCTCTCTTGCACTGCACCATAGATCAACATCTCCCTCTGCCCAGTTCTGCTTCCCTTATCTGCACAAAAATCTCAGAAGCGCCAAGTCTTTTTCCAGGGAACCCAAACCATGACAGGTGAGTACAATGATTTCCTTTTAAATCAGAAAAAGAAGGTTCATGAAGGTTGCTAATGTCCCCAAAGCCTATGGCTAAAGTGACTTTCTGGTCTGATTTCCCAGCGAGCCCTTGTTCTTTCTACTACACCAATCTACACACAGCCTTGCCTCCAATGGCTGAGACTGGATCTCTGTGAAACAGAAAGGGGAGCCCAGGCAGAGGGGAAGGGCACACAGAGGGCTTGAAGATGAGAAAAGAAGAGCAGAGGCACCCTTCAGAGGCCTGATGACAAGACTGAGGTCACAGGCTCCAGAAACAATATCAAAATGATGTGCAGGCTGCAGAAGCAAGCATTACACGGGCAGCATCTCTTTGCCTGAATCCATGTCCAGAAGCCAGGGAGCAGGGCTCCCGGGCAGAGGGGGCTCCCTTAAGCAGGGAAGAGTATTTGCAGCCAAGGACCAGAAAACAACTACAACTTACCAGCTTTCTGATGCTCCGGCCTCCATCCATTGTCCCCAGAGCTGCCAGAGGGACCTGATCACTGATCAGAATTCTTCCACGGCCCTCCTTCATTCCAGGATAAAATTCTAAATATTCTAAGGCTGCACTTTAAGGTCTGTGCAGGTTTTAGCTTCCTGCCATGTCGAGAGCTCATTTCCTACCTACAGCAAGACCCGGTCCTACTCCATTATCTGCTGTAGAATTATCTGATGTGCTAGGTCAGGACACCGGACCTTTTCAGTTTCTTTACCTTTACACAAGAAAACCCACCTGGAATTCCTGCTCCCTATCAACTCACAGTCCCAACACACTTTTCAGCCTGGCAAAACCTCCGACTTCCAGTCAATGCTCACCTCCTCTCTGAAACCTTCCTGGCTTCCTCACCGTCCTCTTCTCCATCTCGAGTCTTCCGCACTACCCTGCACTGCAATTGCTCCTCCTACTGTCCCTCTTAGCCCCAGAAGCTCCCCAAAGGCCATTCTTCATGCTGCTAGGGCTTGGCACAGTTCCTGGCACTCAGAAAAAGCCAAGTAAGTGCTGGATAGATACACGAGGTGCTGTATCCATAGCTATTCTCTGCTTCTAGCTTGGCCAGGAAACCACTCTGAAATTTCATCCTGCCCCCAGGATGACTGGAAATCGGAAATGGCATGACAAACCTGACCTCCCAAACCCAAGGCAACAGGTCATGAGGGGTCTGGGGACCTAAGGCAGGTCCTAGGAGCCGGCGCAGAGCAGAGGTCCGGCCGCTGCGGTTCCTGGTTTCCCGCAAGCTCTTCCCCGGGCCGGGCGCTGGGTGGAGGCAGTCTTAGGATCCACAGTCTTGCGCGCCCCCGGCTCCCGGGCCCGGCAGACGGCCCCCGCACGCCGATCTGTCTGTCCCAGGGACCGGCCCAGGGCCCCGGCAGCGGCAGCCTGGGGAGACACCGTGGTGCGCGGCTCCTTGCCTCCCTCCCTGCCCCTCCGTGCGCCCGCATCCCGCGGACACAGAGCCGGAGCTCCAGGGGACGCAGCCCGACGCGAGAACGCACCAGCAGCCCCCGCTCGAGGTGGGGTCTCCCGGCTGTCAGAAACCCCACAAAGTCTACTTTGCGGCGCCGCGCCGCTTACCGTGCGAGCCGCCAGGAACTCGGCGCCCGGTGGTGCCTCGGCGCGGCGCCCGCCAGTCGATCCGCTCCGGGTCCCGGGAGCTCAGCCTCTGCCCCTCAACGCGCGCGAGCGCCCCCGCCCGGCGGCCCGGCCTCCCCGCGCCGCGGCGCCCCATTGGCTCGGGCAACGAGGCCCCCGGACGGCCCCGCCCACCCGCGCCCACTCCCTCGCCCACGCCTCTCCCCAACGCCTTGCTGGGTTCACCTCTCCAGGCAGGGAAAGTTGCTTCTAGACTCTGAGCTCTCACCGGACTCAGGAGCCCAGTTAGCTAATAATTCTGGGTCCCAGGAGTGTCTAGACGCCCCTCGGGGAGTGCGAAGAATGCAGTGTCCTTGGAATCCACCTTTGGGAAAGTCAGCTGACCTCCCGGACCTCAGGTGGCACCTCAGAGAAACCAGGGCCCCTTGTCAGGAAATGTCCCAGGTTGTGGGCTAGGCCCTAGGGCCAGGATGCAACAGGGAACAAGACAAAGTCTATCGTCCTCGTGGACTTTGCATGGGGTGGAGGTGGGGGTAGGTTATATACAACAAACGAAAAAAACAAGAGAATGTCGGCTGGGTGCCTGTGGCTCACGCCTGTAATCCCAGCACTTTGGGAGGCCGAGGCAGGTGAATCACGAGGTCGGGAGTTCAAGACCAGCCTGGCCAAGATGATAAAACCCCGTCTCTACTAAAAATACAAAAATTAGCTGGGCATGGTGGCCCTCACCTGTAGTCCTAGCTACTCGGGAGGCTGAGGCAGAATTGCTTGGACCCGGGAGGTGGAAGTTACAGTAAGCCGAGTTAGAGCCACTGCACTCCAGCCTGGGCAACAGAGCTAGATGCCGTCTCCAAAAAAAAGAAAAGAAAAAGAAAGGGGTCTAGGACTGCTATACCTAGGGTGGTCTCCGGGCCGCTTGTGATATTGGATACTTGGAGGACAAAAACGATTCCAGGGCTGAAGCAAGAGCATTGCTGACAGAGGGGTCGGCCGATGCATGGTTCTGAAGCTGGAACTGGCCCCCAGGGTGGCTGAGTGAGGTGAGCAAGGGGAGAGTGGGTTACAGCCAGAGAGGTAGACTAGTGTGGAATCACCATCACCCAGAACCTTGTAGGCCACCGTGAGGGTCAGGGCTTTGTCATATCAATCTGGAGGGAACAATTCAGGCAAGAGATTATGGTGATGAAGACCAGGGTGGTGACAGCAAGATACGGAAAAGGTGGACCTCCTGCAATGTGTGTCAAAAGTAGCACAGGAAGGCTTGATGATGGATTAGGCTGGATTTAGGGGATGCTATGGTTTAAATATGTTCCCCAAAGTTCATATCTTGGAAACTTAATCCCCAATGCAACAGTGTTGAGAGGTGGGACCTTTAAGAGGTGATTCCATTAATGCCAGGAGTGGCCCTCTCCCCACCCCTCTGCTGCTCTCTTGTTCTGCCTTGTGCCATGGGGTGACTCAGCATGAAGGCCCTTACCAGATGCAGCCCCTCAATCTTGGACTTCCCAGCCTCCAGAGCCATGAGCTAAATAAATTGTTGTTCCTTATAAATTACCCAGTCTGTGATATTCTGTTATATTGGCACAAAATAGACTATGACAGGGGTTGACGTAAAGGGATGAAAGAAGAAAATCTCCTAGGTGTTTAGCTTGAGCCACTGTGGAGTAATGGTACTATTTCCAAGATCGGGAAGGTTCTTACCCAGCATCTTCCACTTACTGCATGAGCGTTAGTACATGATCTCAGTAACTAAGAGGGAGTGACTCTAACCTCAGTAACTAAGAGGGCATAAGACTAGCTGAAGGATCACAAACTTTAATACCGACGTGGCCGGGTAGTCATGTACTAAGTGAGGTTGGCAGGGTATAATAGAAAGGAGGGATGGGGCTTGTGACAGACTGAGGTATGCACACCTGCCTAAGGTGACAGTCACTGCTCAGCTCCAACTGATTTTTGCCATATGTGAATGGAGACCCACCCAGAGTTGCCAGATGTTCTGTTTTTTGTTTGTTTGTTTTTTATCGAGACTGAGTCCTGCTCTGTCACCCAGGCTAGAGTGCAGTGGTGCGATCTCAGCTCACCGCAACCTCCGCCTCCCTGGTTCAAGCAATTCTCCTGCCTCCCAAGCAGCTGGAATTACAGGCGCCCACCACCACGTCTGGCTAATTTGTGTATTTTTAGTAGAGACAGGGTTTCACCATGTTGGCCAGACTGGTCTCGAACTTCTAACCTCGTGATCTGCCCACCTTGGCCTCCCAAAGTGCTGGGATTATAGGCGTGAGCCACCACACCAGACCCTGATTTTTATTAAGAGGCCAGAAATTCAGATTATGTTAAATCTCTGGTTTTTTTAAATGCTGGTAATTAACTACAACTTTTTTTTTTTTTTTTTCTGAGACGGAGTCTCGCTCTGTCGCCCAGGCTGGATTGCAGTGGATTGTCGAGATTGCAGTGGTGCAATCTCGGCTCACTGCAAGCTCTGCCTTCCGGGTTCACGCCATTCTCCTTCCTCAGCCTCCCAGGTAGCTGGGACTACAGGCGCCCGCCACCACGTCCAGCTAATTTTTTGTATTTTTAGTACAGATGGGGTTTCACCGCGTTAGCCAAGAGGGTCTCGATCTCCTGACCTCATGATCCGCCCGCCTTGGCCTCCCAAAGTGCTGGGATTGCAGGCGTGAGCCACTGCACCCAGCCAATTAACTAAAACTTTTTAAAAGACTGTATTGGCCAAGACTGTTGGACAAGATCAAACCCATGTATGGGCTGGATTTATCCCCTTAGGGACTATTTCCACCTCTGGATTAGACAATACCTCCAACCTTTTAAAGAAACCCTCATAGTGTCTGTCCAGATTGGATGAGAACAATAATGGGAAATAAAAGGATCAAGGAAATCCCAAATGAAAAACCCAGCATAGTCTTTAATGGCATTTGGCCCGCCCCTACCTCCATCTACCTGACATATATCTTCTAAGCCTCAGTTTCCCTCAGGCTAGAGCACAGCTCCTCCAAAACTCCTCCCAACTGTAACCTTTGGAGCTGTAACATCATCATAATTTTTCTTAACTACTGGTTTTCAAATATGCACAGGAATGTTGCTTGGGGAAACATGGAAGGTGTGTATTCATGTCTGGGTCTGTAAATCTAAAAGGCCTCAGTGCTGTCAGTCTGAAGCAAGGAAGGAAAGAGGAAACAGAATGGCATAGAGGTTTAGATGAAAGCCAGATAAATTATTGCATGGAAAATTATTTTTTATTGCACTCTGAATAAGAAAAAATGGCAATTAGATGCAGGAGTGCTTAATGGTTTCTACTGAAAATTCAATGTATTGTAGCCACTTCTCAATATATATCACCAAGGGTTTTGCAGTAATGAGGTTCTCCCATCATGCATTGGAGGTCAGCTGCATTCTAGCATTATTTATTCTTATGTACTGATCTCATGTAATCAAAAAGGCCTGAAAACAGAAAATCACTTTCTGTAGAGTCAGTCCCTTTTACTCCTATCTCCTCCACCTTAGACATCATTTAAAGCTGGAGAAATGGCTTATGATTTTATAAATTGCTGGGTTTTGTGTAGGAGGGTCAACATGGATTAGGAACCAGGAGACCTGAAACTAAGTCCTTGAATAACTTCTCTGAACCTTCTTCATCAGTAGAATGAGAGCTGACAAAAGGTGGCTTCCTAGAAGACTTGTTTATTTCTATTTGTACTCCATGTTTCTTTTGGGGGATTTTTTTTTTTTTTTGTATGGTGACCTGGCAATTCCCAGGGACAGATTCTTGCACAATTTGCCACTCCCCAACTACTCCAAAAATCCTTGAAGAAAGGATGTTGTCTAAGTTGAGCCTATTGGATGCTCACTCCTGGGACTTTCCCTCACCCGAAAGTGACAAAGATGAAGAGAGAAATTGGACATACTAAGACTGCTTGCTTACAGTAATGGTGGTGGCAGCAGTTTCCTGGACTCTTGGTCATGAATCTTGCCGCCCAACCTCGTGAATTTCCTAGATTTCTGTTTCTCAAGTTTGGTCCTGCCATCCCTGTCCCCTACCCAATTTTATTTTGTGAGTCTCCCATCTCTGTTAAAACTGTCTTCTTGTGTTAGCTACTCCAATTATTTCTCTTGCTTTTAACCAAAAATCCTCATGGATCTAGGAAGAAAAGAAACATATTGCATCATATGATCCTTTCCCCAGGGCAACAATTCAGCGCAGGAATTTGCATACAGATGGATGCACACACGGTGATAGGTATACATGTTCCCTCACTACTCAGTAAGAAATCCAACCCCATGGGGTGGCGGTGGTAGTGTTTAAAAGGTTATTTGTTTTTGAAAAGAACCCAAGTCTGCTATTCTTAACAGATTTTTTTTTTAAGTGAGCAGGCTCTTATAATAACAAAACCACTCTAGAAATAGCCCTCTCGTATGTAAATTTTGTAGTTTTTCAAAGTACTTTCATATAAATTCCCTCATTTCATATGCACTCCTGCGAAGTAGGCAGAATAGATAGTATTCACAGTTTATAGATTATTATAATCATAGCTACCATTTACTCAACACATGTTATGTACCAGGCACTGCTAAATGCTTTATATACCCATATGCCGATCTTGTTAAGGAGGTATTATTATCCTCATTTTATAGCTGAAGAAATGGAGGGTGGCCCCAGGTCATATAGATAATACATAGTTGAGGTGAGAACTCGAACTCAGTTCTGTCTGACAACAAAGGCCATGTGTGATTTTAGCACACACAGCTTCGTGTCATGTAACACAGCTGGTGAGTGACAGAGCTATACCTGGGACCTAGGCCCTAATTCAGGACAGTTTCCACTTCATTTAGCTAAGACTTAACCATACGGACCGAAAAGAGTGGAGTCTTTTTGGTTGTCCATCCAAAGCAAGATTTTTAAGGTGATAGAAAAAGCTCATTAATATTTTCCCCTACATAACTATCATGGTGCCTAAACTCCATATCATTAAAGATGAATTGCTAGGTGTGAAAACTGATGGGAGTGTGGGTACAAATTCAAACCTGTCCCTGAGGGGTAAAATGCTAAGCTTTATCAGCTGGAGGAGTAAAGTACTCTTGAGTCTATCCAGAGTGTCAATGACAGGGTGAAATTAGAACTGTTTGGTTTCACTTGTTTCCTATTTGAATTAAAAAAAAAAATCTTTTGGGAAGATGGGGAAGTTAAGGATAGAATAAAAGAAATTTTGAAAGTATTAGTTTATTCCTCAACATGAGGCAATTTGTTTTATCTCTGAAACCTGGTCAAATGAAGAGAGTGTTTAGAATTTCCTAACATCTATGGTTCTTTCCTGGGATTCCTGAGTAAAGGCTCAGACGTGACATGTCCTGATCTGGTGTTGAGGTTCATTCTGAGCTGAAGACTTTGGGAGATTTTTGTGCTAGCTTGTTTGCAGCACAGAGCATTTTTGCTGACGTTGCAAAGGATTGTCATGGCAACCAGAGAAATAAGTTTCCAAGTCCTTGGAGTCCCCCTTAAAGGGAGGCAGATGTCAGTGGGTGTTCATTTGTAATTAAGGGTGCTTGAAGGTTTTAGCTGATCATGTCACTTTCAAAGGTGCTGTTCTAATACATCTGCCTCCACGACTCACCAGGGAGCAGCTGCAGCAAGGCAGAGAGAAGACTAAGTCCAGTGGGAACATCCATGAAAACACCTTGGCAGCAGTTCTCACTGCTGGCTGCATGTTAGAATCACCTCTAGAACTTACAATGCACCAGTGACCTGGCCTCCGATGCCCTTGGCCCCTGATGCCCCAACCAAATCAGTTGACAGGGAGCGGGGCCAGGGTTTCAGAAGTTATATGTATTTTTCAGCCTCCCAGATGACACTAATGTATAGTCAAGGTTGAGAGGGCCTGAGCTGAAGTTAACGTCTCAGGTCCACTTCCTGGACTTTGTCTAGCGTCTTCATTTCAACTTCTTGTCTGTTAGCCTCTTCATTTTTCCAAACTTTGGGTGGATCGTGAGGCCAGGAGTTCGAAACCAGCCTGGCCAACATGGTGAAACCCTGTCTCTACTAAACATACAAAAATTAGCCAGGCATGGTGGCATGCGCCTGTAATCCCAGCTACTTGGGAGGCTGAGGCAGGAGAATTGCTTGAACACGGGAGACGGAGGTTGCAGTGAGCTGAGATCACACCATTGCACTCCAGCCTGGGCAACAGGGCAAGACTCCGTATTTAAAAAAAAAAAAAAAAGTAAAATGGGCTTTGAAATCATATACACCTTGGTTTGGGTCTCAATTCTGAACTTCCCAGGTGTGAGACACTCTTTATGCCTCAACTACTTCATAATAATAGCTGCTTCTCAGGGTTGAGAAGGTAGGGCTGGAGGGACCATGGAACAATGGGTATGAACCATTCAAGTGCCTTCTGATGTTAGGGGCTAACTACGCCCTAGTGAAGACATTTCCTCACCAAACATTTTCCAATCACAATCATGTACCCAGCTTGAAATGTGTATCTATTTTGTCCTTTATAACTCTAAGCCAATCCTAAAAACTACATTATATTGAGTATGTACTATTTGTCAAGCCTTTTTAATAGCATTTGCATATTTTTATTTTATTTAGGTTTCACAAAACCCTCTAAAGTTAGTACTACTGTTGCTTAGAGAAGGGAACTGGTTTGTTCAAGTTTTTAGCACTTCTTTGTTGGTTAAACTGATTAATTAATCCATGCATTGCGTGTCACCCTTCTGAGATAGTGTATTTATATTCTTACAAGAGCCTTCTGGAGACTGAATACTTTTTCTCCGAAGGAGGACCATTAATAAGGGAACTCTCAGGTATGGTTGCAGGCTGACAGGGGTTGTGCTTTGTCACAGGACTCTGGACACCTTTCAAATTCTTCCATTTACACATCAGCTTATCCCTTCTGTGCATGATCTATTTTCTAGACCCATCTGTTCCCGTGCATGTGGTGTTATTTAATCAAGAAAATATTTTATCTCATTTCCTCTTTGGTGTGGAAGGAATAATTCGACAGCAGTAACCCTCAAGCGACAATGTGCATCAAGAGAAAGGAGATGAGGTTGTCTCAACATTTAAAATGCTCATGTGCCACAAATCAGCTGCTTTACCTCTAGGGACTGTCCCTAATGACAGGTTCCCTTACGTGCTGAAGGAGGAGGGCACAATATGACGATATCCTTTGTAGCATTGTCTGAAATCATCCAACAGTTCATCAATAAGGAATGGGTAAGTATACAATGGCAGGGCCATATACGTGGAATATTACAAAGCACTAAAAAGAGTGTGGCAGATTCATATGTGTTATAATGGCTAAACATTATTGCTGAATGAATAAGGCAAATTGAAGAAAAATGGATATAGCATGTATGTACACACACATACATATACATACACATCTACTCTAAGATCACAAAAAGGGCCAGGCGCGGTGGCTCACACCTGTAATCCCAGCACTTTGGGAGGCCAAGGTGGGTGGACCACCTGAGGTCTGGAGTTCGAGACCAGCCTGGCCAACATGGAGAAACCCCGTCTCTACTAAAAATACAAAAATTAGCCAAGTGTGATGACGCATGCCTGTAACCCCAGCTACTTGGGAGGCTGAGGGGGGAGAATCGCTTGAACCTGGGAGGCGGAGGTTGCGGTGAGCCGAGATTGTGCCATTGCACTCCAGCCTGGGCAACAAGAGTGAAAACTCCATCTCAAAAAAATAAAATAAAATAAAACACAAAAAGTGCTAACAATTATCTCTAAGGGCAGCAAGGAGAGAACCTCATTATATGTGTATTTTTGTGGGTGGATTTCAAAGAGGGCGTTAGTCTTTTCCATTATGTTTAAATTTTTGTGATGTTATAATTATTATGGATATACAGTAATTAAAATTTAATTAAAAATCCAAACTCTTGCAATTTCTTTTTTTATTTGAACAATGAAGTACAATATTTTTAAATGGGAAGATTTTAGAATGGAAACTTGAAAAAGGGTTCTGTATTCAGTGCCATAAAAAAGAAAGCACATGAGATTGGGAGTCAGGGCGTTCGACTGTGTGACCTCAGGCAAATCACTTCCCTCCTCTGGGTCTCTGTTCCTCCTCTGTAGAATGAGGGGTTTGGGCCTAGTCAATGGTTTTCTCATTACTTTCCAGTGCCCCAGGATTTGCCAGAGGTGGCTCAGGTGCCATTGCAAAGTGTATGTGCATGTGTTGGGGCAGGGGGCGGTGAGGCGTGGAGAGACAGAGATAGAGAAATAAAGACAAATACAAAGAAGGTTAAAAGGAGAGAGAGAGAAGGAAGGAGAAAAGAACTGAAGGCGGAGAAAGAGAGGGAGAGAGAAAAAGAGAGAGTGAAAAGATTTTCTTTTGTAAAAGAACCACTTTATTCAGATATGATTGACATGCAAAAGAGAGAGATTTCTAAGATCCATTCGGCTCAGCTATTCTAAGCAGAGGCAAGTAGCAACAGAAGCTAGACAACTGGCTTTAAATTTGTACCCTGTGTGTTGCGGGGAGGCAGTGGAGAAGCACCTGGCTGGAAGTTAGAGAACTTGCCATCGGCAAGAACAGATTCAGCCTGAACTCCAGCCATCTGGCCACACACCGGTACCTCCATGCTGGACTCCAGAGACACACTGATGCTTCCAGTCCTTTGTGTCGAGCAGAACAGGCATGAGAGGAGGACCAGCTGACTGGCCTTTCTTCAGGCTCTGTGAGACTGGATGCTGAGTTCCAGCAGCATTCCTTGTCACCTTCTGCTTGGACTGGCTCCGCTACACTGGGAGAGGGGCTCCCTTTCCTGGTTTTCAAGCCCCTGGAAGGAGAGCAGAGCTTAACTTCCAGAAGCAGATCATTACTTTCTTCAAAACCATCTCCATCTGGACTTCAGAGGAGTAAGCATACCATAATCAGTGAAAGAAGGCATTTGAAAGAACTGCTTGGTCTATAAAATGCTATATCACATAGTGGCTGAAAAATAGTCATTGAAAGAATACATTCTTATGACTTTTCCTTTCAAAGAAGAAACGAGATAATGGCAAACATTTACCTTGGCATTACTAGAGATTTGGGTTCAAATCCCAGCTTTACCACTTAAATAGTGTGTGTGATCTTAAGCAATAATGATAATGATAGTAATAATTAATAATAATACACTTGTGCACCAGCCTCTCTGCTAAGTGTTTAACCTTTATTTTCTTATTGAATTCTTTCAGTGACACTTTAAGATAGATATTAATACCTCCATTTTAAAGATAGAGATGTATGGGCTCAGAGAAGCTAAGAAACTTACTAAAGTCACACACTCTAAGAGTGCCAGGGTCAGGAGTTGAACCCAGATCCACATCCACATTCTTTGAAAAGCATTGCTTTTAACCATTCTAAAAGACTTCTCTGAGGCCAGGTGCAGTGGCTCATGCCTGTAATCCCAGCAGTTTGGGAGGCCAAGGCGGATGGATCACGAGGTCAGGAGTTCGAGACAAGCCTGGCCAAATAGTGAAACCCCGTCTCTACTAAAAATACAAAAAATTAGCCAGGCGTGGTGGCGGGCACCTGTGATCCCAGCTACTCAGGAGGCTGAGGCAGGAGAATCGGTTGAACCTGGGAGGCAGAGGTTGCAGTGAGCTGAGATCGCATCACTGCACTCCAGCCCGGGCGACAATGCGAGACTGTCTCAAAAAAAAAAAAGACTTTTCTGTCTACTGAAGTTCAGTTCTTCCTGTCTTGTGAGATGATCATGAGGATCAATTGGACCAATTTATATGTCCTGTCCTGAAATCCAGAACCTGGAATGTATCACTAAAAGCAAGTGGAACAGAGAAAACCATGGCTTTTTACATGGAGGGAAATCTTTTATTATTAATACTAAAGCACACCTGTGGTTGTGATTTTTGTGATTGGGTCACCTCACTATGGGCAGGTGGCATTTTAATCCCTTGAGATTGTGCATAAAGATTTTTACCACCTTTGAAATGGAAATTCTTCTTCTTTCCCCCAAATATCTCCATTACGCTGCTATACTAGTAGGACGGGCAAAGCACATTCAAGACAGACAGAGTTGGGGCCGGGCACGGTGGCTCACGCCTGTAATCCCAGCACTTTGGGAGGTCGAGGTGGGCAGATCACGAGGTCAGGAGATCGAGACCATCCTGGCTAACACGGTGAAACCCCATCTCTACTAAAAATACAAAAAATTAGCTGGGTGTGGTGGCGGGCACCTGTAGTCCCAGCTACTTGGGAGGCTGAGGCAGGAGAATGGCGTGGACCCAGGATGTGGAGCTTGCAGTGAGCCGAGATGGCGCCACTGCACTCCAGCCTGGGCCACAGAGCAAGACTGTGTCTCAAAAAAATAAATAAATAAAAATAAATGACAGAGTTAGGAATTCTGCAATGCACTCCTCTGGCTGTGGCCACTGCTCCCAGAGTGACTATCTCTGCTCATTCATTCATTGCTCCTCTGGGAATTGGTAGTCTCCATCACCGTGTTGCCAGGCAACCAAAACAGCACGTGCCTCAGGAGGTGAACAAACCAATCAAAACACTTGAAGGAAAAGCTTTACCTGGTTGGCCTCCAAGATGGAAAAGGGGCTCTCTGGGTGGACTCAGGGCTGCGGCTGCTGGGATCAGCATCAGAGCTGGAGGGAACCCAGGAAACTAGAAACCTCTCATTTTTGTGTCTTAAGTGGTGGCCTGTTTGACTGTGAAGTCCACAAGGTTACAAAGAAACTCTGTGGCAGAGCCAGGAGGACAAGTTGGATCTCCCAGTCTTAGTCTAGTGTTTCATCCCTTATACCTCATCGCCATCATTTCAAGTCATGTGTGTGGCACTGTCTATGTATGAGACTCCTGCTTGCAGTGTGAGGGATGCAGAAGCCATTTAGACGCCATTCCTCATTCGGCCGTCTAACAATGCTTTATTTCACTTCCATAATGAAGGCAATGAAGCATAGTGATGAAAGATTCAGGCACTCACAGCCAGACAGAGCACAGGGTTCAGCTCAGCCCGTTACTACTTATGGGAGAATGGATATTACTTAACCTGTCTGTGTCACGTTTTCTCAAATAAACTGATGTTAAGTATGAGAATTAAAGCACAAAGGAAAGTTCGGTAAATGTTGGCCATCGTTGGAGATAACACTTGGGGCTCTTGAACTTAGACTCTGAAACTGGGCTGCCTGGGCTCAAGTCTCAGCTCTGCCTCATACTCACCACATGATCACTGCCAAGTTACTTACAATTTCCAGGATTTGTTTCCCTATCTGTAAAATGAGTGTAATAATTGAACCTATTAGGTTCATTATGAACTAAAATAATTTCATATGCATAAAGTGCTTAGAATACTTTCTGGTACACCATAAGTACCCTATAAATTTTAGCTAATATGATCCATCAACAAATATTTATTGAATACATTGTATGTACTAGGCACTGACCTAGGAGCTCTAGATATAAAACAAATCAAAAAAATAGGTAAATGTCTCTCTGCTTCATGCAACTATGACTGTTATTACATTCTTTTTTTTTTTTTTTTTTGAGACGGAGTTTTGCTCCTGTTGCCCAGGCTGGAGTGCAATGGCGCGTTCTTGGCTCATGGCTCACTGCAACCTCCACCTCCCAGGTTCAAACTATTCACCTGCCTCAGCCTCCCAAGTAGCTGGGATTACAGGCATGCGCCATCGCACACCGCTAATTTTGTATTTTTAGTAGATGGGGTTTCTACATGTTGGTCAGACTGATCTCGAACTCCCGACCTCAGGTGATCCACCCGCCTCGGCCTCCGAAAGTGCTGGGATTACAAGCATGAGCTGCCGCTCCTGGCCTGTTATTACATTCTTAATAATGTCTGTTTATTTCTCAATTCCTGCAAGGACCTGCAATTCCTGCAAGCATCTTAAATGCCCAGTATGTGTTTGGTTCACATTTGTATTACCTGTGCTTGGCACTGGGCCAGGGGTCTAGTACATGTTCAGTAAATATTTGTTTAATATACATATATATTTGTTTAATATACATACTGTGCTATGTATAGAACAATGGTTTGCAACCAGAGATGACTTCGATCCCTCTGGGGATATCAGGCAATGTCTAGGGATATCTTTGGTTCTCACAGCTTGTGGGGTGGGTTAGAGAAGGTGGTGGTGGTGGTGCTACTGGCGTCTAGTGGGTAGAGGCAAGTGATGCTTTTAAAATCCTAAAGCAAACAGCACAGCCCCCATAACAAAGAATTACCCAGCCCCAATATCAATAGCAACAAACTGAAAAGCCCTGGTAATACAACAGAGATAAACAAAGCCTTGTAATGACCCCTTCCCTCCAAAAGCTCTTGTTCTGTGCAACCGTGAGAGCATAGCACACTAAGTACTGTGCAGGGGGCGGGACTGTGAGAACATAGAGAAGAGGCACCTGAACAGCTGAGGCTTCTGGCGGAGGTGGTGTCTGAGGGGAATCTTCAAGAACATGTGTGAGTGTTCCAGGCACATTTTGTGTGTTCTGGGAGAAGTTATAGGACTTGGGGAAATGTGCCGGAAGGGTGAACAGCATGAGCAAAGGCTCGAAAGTAAAAAGTAGTTTGGGTTTCTTAAAGTGCAACAACAGAACAGGAGTGGGAGCAGAGGCTTGGCAGGCAATCGTGGAGAGCTGGGCGTGATGTGATCAGCCAGAATTTCCAAAGTCTGTTTTCTAAACACTAGTCCTTCAACACATGCCAGAAATAAAAAATTAAAAAAAATAAAAAAAGCCAACATCAAATAAGAATGAGAAAGTAGTGAACGCTACCTCCTACCCTTTTGGAGATTTGCAAGACATGTTGGTATCATGCAGCCTCTGACAAATCCTGCATTAAAGAAACTTGATTGATTTCATTTAGTTTAACCCAGAGTCTTCCAAAGGTTTTTGACCATGAGAACTTCTTTCCCAGACACTTATGTACCTGGATTCTACAGACCCCACTTTGGGAAGAGGAGCCACAGGCTATGAAGATATTTATGGGTTGCCTTTAAGAAATACAGTGTCTGGATTTGAGTTTTGGGAAGATCTCTCTGGCTCCTATGTGAAAGTGGATTCAGTAGGTAGGAGATGTTTATACACGTTGTTAAAGTGTGTGTCATGATGCTGTGATGTATTGATTCCTGGGCTGTCTCCTCCACTAGACTCTGAAATTTTTGTTGTAGGGGGCACATTTGTCGATCACTGTATCCCAGTGCCTAGATAAGCTGGACAGATAATAGGCACATGCTCCTATTTTTAAATGAATACATGCATATTGTTTTCAGGCATTGTACTACACATTGAGGCTGAACAAGACACATGGAGCCCCTGTTCTCACACAGTTAACAGACCAGCAAGCATGTAGAAGATACTTTATATTAATACATGTTTATGGACTGGTGGAATGACTAGCATAATAAATAAGACAGAAAGTGGCAAGGATCAGAAATTGGGAAGGGCCTATGAATCTGTACTGGAAACTAGTTACTTGATTACTTCTGATGTCCAGGGGCCCACGTTTGGGAACTGCTGTGCTGCCAGTCAGAGATGAGGTCTCTTTAATTGGCCTGCCGAGATCAAGGCCCCAGCCTTCCTACCTGGCTGTTCCTGACTCTTCCCACGTGGGGCTATCAAGCCTCTGGATTCTCTGTTCTGGAGCTACTACCCGGCCGTTTCTGATCTTGTTTTGATCCCCTAAATGCAGATTGGAGCACTACAGGTCCTTTATAGCCCAAACCCTGATGGGAACCATCACTTTACTGGACACCAAGTGGGTTGCTTGCTTCTGGTTTCCACCTCCCTGCCCTCCCCATGCAGAACGTACTCCTCCCTCATGTGACACCATCACATCCCTGGGTCCAAAAGACTGTCTCTCGAGATCTGCTCAAAAATGCCTATGAGGCAAAACATATTTCTGTTTTAATGTAGGCTGTGTACACAGTTAAGCTCTGTTTTATTTTTGATGTGCAAATTAAAAAGAAAAAGAGGAGGAGGAGGAGAAGGAGGAGGAGGTGGGGGAGGAGGAGGAGATGTCTGTATGGTATTTTAAGAGAGGCTGGAGCACTTTTCTTCATTTTGTCCTGGATAGGATTTTCCAGGGAAATGAAAAAGAATAAAAAGGCCCTGATTGACTGGTTCATGGCAAGGGGAATCATTTTCTTAGCTGGCTGATCAGGAGACAATAGATAGTTGTGATTGAATTAACTGGTGGTTTTTAAATTCCTGCTGGTGGAAAAACTTCACCAGAATCATTTGGGAAGCTCATAAAAAAGTGATGCTCAGGTCTCATCTGAGATTTATTGAATCAGGGCTCTAAAGGTAAAGTACCAGAATGTATATTTCTAAAAATATTCCGTGGAGATACTGATACATAGCCTGGATTGGTCGGTGGTGGGCTAGTGTGGGTCAGTGATGGAGCACTTCTCAGCTTGGCACAATCTCATTCTCTCATAAAGCCAATTCTGACTCTCTCTCCCAAGTCTAAATCCAAACTCAGTGTCACCCACCCCAGACCACAGGGCATAGCCTGAAGACCTTTTCTCATCCATTCTCCGGTCCAGCTCATGCCAATGAAGGTTGTTCGTAGTCCTGGCTGTCAAACACTGATCTATGAAACGCCAGGGCTGGCCTTCATTCCAGCTGCACCACCTGTTAATAATGCTCAGCACAGACATTTCTAGGCAAGGGAGAAAACCAGTTTTTCCTGCGGCCGTCTCGAGGGATATACATTTCCTATCATTACAGTTCATAATTTCCCTGATGATGGGAACATCATGTCAACTCTCATCCAATTTAAACAGGTCGTCTGTTGACCGATTTTCTTCCCCCATATGGGGTGGGGTAGTGGTGAAATGCCTTCTATTTCTGTTCAGGAAAAGACAGAGGATTTTGTTTTATGTACTTTAAACTTCATTCCTAAAGTTTAAATAAACTTTGCAGACATTTTCTCATTTGCCTTCATCAACAACTCTTTAGTACAATAAAGGGTCTTGCAGGTCCCAATCCATCTCTGTAGAGTGGGGCTGAAATTTGAAGGATCTGTGTGCACACACGTAACCCTGATTATTGAACCCTGGACCAGCCTCTGAATATTAAAAATCATATTTTAGAAGTCCAATCTACCAATCAAAAGGAATTTTAAAGGAGTTTTAAGCTATGCCGGGTTCTCTTGAAGACCAATACATGGAATCCATTTTATAACCTAGAACAATTTTCTAAACTCCTCCTTAACCTTTCCCTCCATTCTCTCCCACCTCTTAGATGCTCTAGAGCCCACCCCTCATAAAGTCTCCTCCACTCTCTCTAACACCCAACCCTGCAACTTTTATTTTTATTTCCTCTTGGCATTCCTTTTGGATCTCTGAGCCTGGCTTCCCATTCACATTCTTCATATTCTTTTGAATTTATATCACAAAACCCTACAAATTGGGATAGCAAGCCAAAACATCACTGATTGCTAACCAAGTAAAAAGAAAATTGCGTTAATACGAGTGAGGTAAAGGATTTGGTAGCCGAGAACATATACATGCTAATAAACCTTACCTCCTTCACATGTATGTTTGGGGTTATCATCTGTACTCCAGACAACAGCCCTGCAGACAGCGACTGTAAGTAATACCATTCCTATAATCCTCCCATGGCAGCATGAGGGCATCCACATCTCCTACCTTTCCTAACTAGAAGCTTCCTTCCTGGCTCTCACTCTCTCCCTTTCCCCTTAAACTCATCCGGGCTTATTGTCTGCTCATTCTGGTGATTCATATTATGTTTCTATCCTCTGGACTGATGTCAACAGGAAAGCAGCGTGACTGGGTGAATCAGCTGAGATGTAGCTCAGCACTTGTAAATGTCAGGAGGAGAACATGTGGCTTGGCTTTGTGTCCCCCTCCTCACTCTTCTTCTTTATGGCCAGGATCACCTACTCCTTTACCGGGACCGCTTCCCACATCTCTCCTCCATAGAATTCCACTCATTCATACATTGTTGTGAGTTGCAATAAAGTACCTTTGATATGATTTTCCTCCATAATCATGACCGCAATGTGAGTCATGATTTGAGCAAGGAATGGCCTTAAGAAAAATAAATATGTAAAAGTCATTGTTCCGGCTGGGCGTGGTGGCTCACGCCTGTAATCCCAGCACTTTGGGAGGCCGAGGTGGGCAGACCACTTGAGGTCAGGAGTTCCAGACCATCCTGACCAACATGGTGAAACCCCATCTCTACTAAAAATACAAAAATTAGCCAGGTGTGGTGCCGCGTGCCTGTAGTCCCAGCTACTCAGGAGGCTGAGGCCAGAGAATTGCTTGAACCAGGGAGACGGAGGATGCAGTGAGCCGAGATCACACCACTGCACTCCAGCCTGGGCGACAGAGTGAGACTCCATCTTAGAAACAAACAAACTAACAAACAAACAAAAAAGAAAAAAAGAAAAAAATCATAGTTCCATAATAAGCAGATCTACAGAGGAGAAAGGGTCCTTTGTCTTTAGTCTTATATCTGGGAAGTAAGTGAAGGGGGTCCTTGCCCCAGGGGCCTGGATTACTTTAGTCCAGCATGTTTTCTATATATTTGACATTTACTGAGTTTTTATTCTGTACCAGATACTGTTCTAAGTGCTTTACACATGTTAACATTTAAAATCATCATAACATAGGCATGTGATAGTTATTCATATTATCTACATTTTGCTGATGAGGAATTCCAAGCTTAGCGAGCTTATGTAACTTGGCCAAAGTTACTCAGGCAATGAGTGTTGGAACCAAGATTTAAATGCGTACCAGTGTTATAGCCTGAACTATTAACCATTATGCAACACCTGCTTCTCTCTTTTAATCCAAGTAGCTAATTGGATTCTTTACCAAGAGACAGTGATAGCCACCATTTCAGTGAAATAGCTATGTTTCTGTAGCTAGGTAAAGTCTTGGTAGGGAGGGAGATATGGTAGCTATTATGTGATAGAGTTGGAATCAAGTCCAGATCTTCTTACTCCAAATACCGTGGTCTTCTAACTTTAGAATAGTTGAAGAATTTCATCAGTAGTGACAAAGAAAATCCTGTGTCTATCTGTAGGAGGATTTACTTAATTTGTTTTATCAAAAAATGTATTTGATCTTCCTTAGGTGAATCAGTCACCTGGGCCTCATTTCCTCTGCTTCTGTTTCCTACAATTCTACACCATGTGGTGAGAAATTGTCTCATTATTCCTCAATGCTCCAGTGAGGAATCCTAAGTAAAACAGCCCTCATTGTATAGATAAGGGGACCGAGGCTTGGAGAATGTTAGTAACTTTCCATAATTACATAGCTAGTAGGTGGTAGAACCTGAATAATTGTTGAAAGGATCTTGGAGGAGAAAGATTTATGACAATTCTTATTTACTCAATGAAGACTTCTTTGAAAAGCTTTGCACTGACTATTATAGTAAATATGGTCTTGAGTAATTAAATCTATAATTCTATTTTCCTTCACGGTATCACATTCCTTCCTCTTCAAAGATGCTTCTCATAGCTGTTATAATTGAATAGGATTAGAGAAACATAACAAATGGAAAATTTTCCTTTCATGAGCTCTGGGGACTATCCACCTAAAATGTGTCTTCCAGATAAGACGATGTCATGCAGATTAGACATATCCTTAGAGAATGATAACACGTTTACTGCGAGTGAGTCACCTTCCTTTGGGATGTCAGAATTAGGCAATATCAAATCTAATAAACATCGATAGGCTGGAAAGAATTCTAATGTATTCAACAAGGTCAAAGAAATTCAGTGTCTAAGGCAAGGGCAGTAGTAACTTGAATCTATTTCTCCTCTACCTGACCTTGAAACTCATTTTCAACCCATGACTTCAAAAATATTAGGAAACAGGAAATAATAAGTTATACTGTTAGGAAATAAGTCTCCCTAACTGATTGGATAAGATATTTCTCTGGCACTTAAATCAGAGTACGTGACTTCTTCCTTAATTCCTATTTGAGAAAGTGCCATAGTAAACACACCCATGTCACTGGAGATACACACAATTCTGCTTGATGGTGACAGTATACTTGTGATGGGATTTATTATAAGTAGATTAGTTCTAGGAGCTTAGTTCTTGGCTTTGGCTATGTGGCCTTGTGGATGCAATTTTCATTCTCTGTTCCAAGGACTTGTGTTTTGTAATTTCTAGGATTCTTCTGAAGATATTTTTGAGTACCTAATTGGATGTGTGTGTATCTGTTTTGAAGCACCAGATTTTCATGAATACTGAAAGGAAAACTTCAGATTTATTCTGTCAATGGGATTTTTCCTGCTGTCCGTGGTGCTGAATTGTATTATACAAGTCCTTCAGATTTCAAGTGTGAATGTTTCAGCTGGAAGAGGGAAAGGTAAAAGGGAAAGAGTTAGACTTCATAAAAGCCTACAGATCTGTCCAATAGTGTTTATCCATATGTCTATAAACAAAATAAACACAGATAAGCTTAAGATAAGCCATATAGCTATAGAAATTGTAACTTTTTTGAGAGACTCTTTCTTCTTTAGCGTTGTATCTTAAGAGCTGGGATGTTACTTGACCCAGAGTTCATTCTCAATGGATTTTCTTTTTAGTGAATAGTGAATAAATTCAGTCACAGTGCTCAAAGAATTGGATACATATTTAATGCTCAAGTGGGAGGTCTCTGGAATCAGACTGCCAGGGTTCCTATCAGGGTTGTACTACTCACTGGCTGTGTGACCCTGAGCAAGTCATGTCACTTCTACCCAGTAAGACTATCTCAAAAGGTTGC
The DNA here is from genome assembly GCF_000001405.40 of Homo sapiens. Lineage (NCBI taxonomy): Eukaryota > Metazoa > Chordata > Mammalia > Primates > Hominidae > Homo > Homo sapiens. The sequence goes on from NC_000022.11 coordinate 33,077,053, forward strand.
TATGAGGATCAAAAGAGTTAATACACAAGAAATGCTCAAAACTGAACCTGCAACAGTGTAAGTGCTATGTATTATTGTTATTATTATTATTACTCCTTGTTTGCATTCCTTTTCAAAAGGAGATTTAGGAATAGTACATACAAGTTACATAATAATGATTAAAGTTATTGAGTGCTTATTATGTACCAGGCATACTAATTTACTAATTACTTACAATAGTACATGATCTAGGTACTATTATTATTCCCATTATAAAGTGAGGAACCTCATAGAGTGCCTAAGTAACTACCCCAGAGTCATATAGTACTTTTGGCACTCAGATTTAAACCTAGGCTGTTTAGAAATCTGGGCTCTTATTTAGGTTTTATAAGACTAATACATCTAAATAAGACGCCATTTTACTGCTTCTTAATATTTGGATTCCCTAATGTTAGTAATGTGGAGAGCAGATTGGATATGAAAGGGGCATTTTCTATAAGTGATCAAGTCTTTCTTTAATACTGAGCTATAACAGCCTCACAATAAAACGAGATGAATTTCCAATATTTTAATCTTTTTTCCTTGAGGGGATAGAAAGAGAAGGGGTATTTGTGCATGCCTTTTCCAATCAGTACAATTAGCATGTAGATCCTAAACATATATTATGCATATTTTACCTGATCATCTTAACACAGGGATTAGAACATTTTATGCTTTTTGGTTTACTGTCTTCACCTCTAATTCAGTTATTAAAATAATTCTGACGGTGCAGTTTAAGGTTCATTTCATCGTTAGTCTAAATTTTAATACTGAACATTCTTCACTTTACATTTCACTTATACACTGAGTATAATAATCTGTAGTTCATGTCCATCTAGGATGAAGGTGTTTATGCACCTTTGTTTCGTTTCCTTTTTTTTTTCAAAACTAGTCTCCTTTTGAGTGAAATCTGAACTGCATGTACTATTTGCAATTTGCAGTAGAAGACTGGCGTAAAAAAGAAATAATGAAAGCTATATTAGTATTGTCCCAGAAAATAACTGGTAATGGTGTAATCAATTTTCTCCGGTGATTTCTCTTTCCCTAGTTTTGACTGCTTTGCCTCCATCCATCTGAATGGAAAAAAAATGCTGAGTGCTTTTGCTGATTGCTGTTGGTCATGGACTACATTAACTAGAGTCCTGCAGCTTTACAGATAATTTGGTTTACACCTCTAAGTCTGCCAAATTGTCATCATTTAGCCATATTCATATGAGGCTCTTTCCTCATTAGTCAGTGATAGGCATAGCTATAATACATCTTTAGCGAGAAATGTACCAGGAAGCTCAGGCAGTAGGAGCCAATATTTATTGAGCACCTACTATGTGCCAGGACCCAGGTTAAGTTCTTTGCTACATTATCTAATTTAATCCATGTAATAATCCATTACAACATGTACTGTTATTATACCCATTGTATAGGAGGAAAATATCGAGGCACAGAAAAATAAGTTAACATGTCCATGGTCATACCAGTTAGTTATGAAAATTACTGACCAGGATTTGAAGCCAGGCAGTCTGACTCCACAACCAATGCTGTCTGTCACTATATTGTATTGCCCTCTATGTACTCATGTTTTTTGAATCCTTACAAATCAATTCAACAACATTGAATTAGCCTTTATTTTGTGCCAGGGACTGTGCAAGATACCAGAGATGCTAAGATTATTAAGATGTAGTCTCTTCCCCTAAATTACTCATGACTTAGTGTGAAATTTGTTGTAATAAAGGCACAGAGGGTCACAGAAAAGTAAGTGACTGCCTCAAAGGAGAGGGTTAGAGGCGAGGTCAGGGCAAGCTCCACAGATGAGATGTCTCTTGATCTAAGTTTTAAAATGTGAGAGAAAATATCACGTGCAAAGGCATGGAAGTGTGAAACTACGTAACACCTTAAACAGGTGAGAGACAACACAGCACACTAACTACAAGCATGGATGCTGGAGCTGGATGGCCTGGGCTTGAACCTGGCTCTACTTGGTGTCAGTGTTGAGTTCCTTAGCTTCTTGTGCCTCAGTTTCTCATCTATGCCATGAGGATGGTAATACTAGTAACTCCCTAGTAGTGTAGGGTGATGATTAAATGATTAAGGTACATAAAGCGCTTAGAGGCAGCGGTGCCTGACATAAGTCTCCATGATATCTAGTTATCATTCTTTTTTTTTTTTTTTTTTTTTTTTTAGACAGAGTCTCACTCTGTCACCCAGGCTGGAGGACAGTGGCGTGATCTCGGCTCACTGCAAGCTCCGCCTCCTGGGTTCACGCCATTCTCCTGCTTCAGCCTCCCAACTAGCTGGGACTACAGGCGCCCGCCACCACGCCCGGATAATTTTTTGTATTTTCAGTAGAGATGGGGTTTCACTGTGTTAGCCAGCATGGTCTCGATCTCCTGACCTCATGACCTGCCCGTCTTGGCCTCCCAAAGTTCTGGGATTGCAGGCGTGAGCCACCACACCTGGCCATCTAGTTATCATTCTTATTACCTACAACTTTTATTATTTTTGATGCCTATTAACTCCTCACTGCTATGTTACTGATAAGATAGACTAGACTGGATCACACTCTATTATTTGTTTTCAAGTGTCTCTAAGCTTTTCAGAGGTACCAACCCAGTTCGTTTAAGGAAACTCTAGTTTCCTTACAAAGTTGGTTGGCAATAAATGAGTTGTCCATTCTGCTTAGAAGAACCTAGCAAGTAGTGCTGCTTGGAACTTTCCCCTTAAGACATAATTTTACTCTGAGCCCCCAAGAAAAGAAGAAGGAAGGAAAAGATGAACAGGAATGACCCGTTGAGGGCAAAACCCATGAAAATTGATCATGGCTCTTTTCTCCGACAATGGCATCATTGGCCTGGCAGAGCACAAGAGAGCTATCAGGGGGACTGTCCTCTTGCATGTGCTCAGGAACTTGTCCTCATTGCCTCCAGGTGCTGGGTTTCTTAGAGCCAGAGGTGGCAGGCATGTGGAGGGAAGGCTTCTGTGGATCCTCCCCTCTTCCTCTCAAATGTTCCTTTGTAGATTTAAGAATTAAAAAGTGCAGTAAAATTTGTTTTATAATTATAGCCCCAGGAAACATGAGTTTTAGTCTTAGCTTCGACATTCACTGAGTAATAATTATTGCAAGCACTTATGTAGTGTCTACTATGTGCCAGATGTTTTTGAATCATGTTACTTGCATCACCTCATTTAATTCTTACAAGAGCTCAGTAAGTTGGTATATATGTGTATTTGTCAAGCTTAGCTAGGTTATGCTGTGATAACAAACAACCACCAGATCTCAGTAGTTTGTTTCTCACTCGTGCTCTTTGTTCGTTGTAGGTTCATGGGAATTCCGTTCCACTCTGTCTTCACCCCAGGATGCAGGCTAAGAAAATGACCTTCATACAGAATGTTTCAGATTTTATGTCAGAGAACAGGAAAGGGCAAATCTCACATTAGCTCTTAAAAGTTTCCACAAGGGGATGACACAGACACTTCAGCTCACATTTGATATCCAGACCTAACTTCACGTGGGCATGGAACACATGGCTTATGTGCCTAGAAGTGGAAGAATCAGAATACTGGTGAACAGCTCTAATGACTAATATCATATATAATTATTAGCAGCATTTTGCAGATGAGGACACTGAAGAACAGAGAGATTAAGTAACTTGCCCAAAGTTACATAATTTATAAGTGGTAAAGCTGGGATTTGAATTCAGGCAGTTAGCTCCAGAGAATACTCTTAACTGCTGTCCATAAGCCTTTTCTGAGGCACTGAACCTCGGTTCAGTTTACCCATCTGTAAAATGGGAAAAGAAACTTTTCTTCTATGCCTTACAGGGATGCACTCAAAAGTCATCCATCCATCCATCTATCCATCTGCTCATCCGTTCATCCATCTGTCTTCCATCCATCCATCCATCCATCCATCCATCCATCCATCCATCCACTCTTGTAGTAATTGGCACACAGTTCTGGACTGAACTGTTTTGCCTCAGAATTCATATGTTGGATCCCTATTCCCCAGTGTGAGGTATGTGGACATAGGGCCTTTTGAAGGTAATCACTCTCTCTTTGCCATGTGACAGCATAATGAGAAAGTGGCCATCTACTAGTCAGGAAGAGAACGTTAACCAGGAACTGAATTAGCTGGCACCTTGATCTTGGACTTCCCAGCCTCCAGAACTGTGAGAAATAAATGTCTATTGTTTAAATCACCCAGTCTATGCAGCAATCTATAGCTGCCTGAACAGATTAATACTGATACAATAGAAAGTAACTGGAGAAGATTCTTTGGATTAGGATGTCAGGGAAGGACCATCTCCAGAAGTAACCTGTGAGCTAAGTTTTGCATGTGAAGACGTAGGGAGGAGAAAGAATGATAAGTAAAAGACTGAGGCAGGAATGAGCATGGCATCTTTGAGGAATAAAGGGAGTCAGAGTAGCTGGAATACAGTGATGAGGAAGAAAACAGTAGGCAATACGGGTGCAGGGGGAAGCAGAGGCCAAGTCATAAAAGAAAGATAAAATATACCAGGGATTTTTTCAAACTTTTTGAGAGATTAACCCTTTTTGAGAATCTGCTGAAAACTATGGACATGCTCATCAGAAAAGACCACATTCATATGACATTTTGCATAAAATACCAGAGGTTTTGTAGCCTTCTACCCTCATGTCTATCCAGAACCTAGACTGGGAACATCTGACAAATATAAAGACACTTTGAATAGCACATAGGGAAAGGGAGGGGAGAAAGAGATTTTCATTGTCTGCAAGCTTTCTCTGTGCTGGGAATTCTGCCAGTTATGATAGATTAATTATTTAACATTTTCCATGATCCCATTTTATAAATGATAAGATTCAGGGAGATTCAGGGAGGCTAAGCAATATGCTTTAGGCTAAATGGGTAATAGACAAAGAATTTAAATCGAGGTCAGCTTCACTCCATAGATAATATTGTTGTTATTGTCGTTGTTATTATTATTATTATTAGGTGTAGGGTCTAGTTTTACCCTGCCAAGGGTATTTTAATTATTTGGTGGAGGCTCTACATTTTCAACCAGCCAAGAGTATCCATTTCCTTTTCACTGGCTCTAGTTGAATAGCAGAGCAGCTCAGATTCTAAGTTTCCATTTCTCTACTGCCGCACTGATTATAATGTCGGCCTTTATTACTCCCAGCAGAGCAGTGAAATACAATCCCTACACCACTACCAATTAAGGCAGCTTCAATTCTATCTACATGTTCTTCCTCTGTGCAGATGCCAGCAGATCTGTTCCAAGACCCTTCCGGTTGTTTAGTATTCTGCTCAGAGGAGTCATTTGCTGATCATCTTCTTTCTTAATTAGGGATCTAATGTATTGCAGCTGACCCTTGAACAAGAGAAAGATGGAGACCTGGCTGGAAAGGAGGTGTGACCATTCATTTCAAGGTAATCAGCTTTGAAGCTGCTTGACATCTGCTATTGATTTTCTTGTGCCTGGAAAACCTCCTGAGAAAGGTTTCTGATCTCAGAAGTCTGAGCAATCTACGCATTTACTTATTCACTCACTGTGCAAGGCCAGGAAATGGCCTGCAATGAAATGAGCAGAGAAATACCTTCTCTGAAAAACCAAATGCATGGGAATGATTTCAAAGCTCCTTCCGGACCACAATGAAGGAGAGATAGTTAGCAACAGACAAGTTCCCTCCCCTCCATAAAGCCTTATACAGAAACTAATACTTAATAAACTACCTTGGGAGGCTGAGGTGGGTGGATCATGAGGTCAGGAGATCGAGACCATCCTGGCTAACACGGTGAAACCCCATCTCTACTAAAAATACAAAAAATTAGCCGGGCGTGGTGGCGGGCACCTGTAGTCCCAGCTACTTGGGAGGCTGAGGCAGGAGAATGGTGTGAACCCGGGAGGCGGAGCTTGCAGTGAGCTGAGATCATGCCACTGCACTCCAGCCTGGGTGACACAGTGAAGACTCCGTCTCAAAATAAAAATAAAAATAAAAATAATAAACTACCATTTACAGTAGACACTCTAAATATATCATTTCTAATATCAAAACACTGTTGGTTTTATTGCCTTTTCTTATGAATGGGGAAATTAAGGCTTAGAGATGTGAATTACTTTGCCCAGTGTCACACAGCAAGTAAATACCTGAGGTGGGGAGGAAAACCCATGTCAATGTGAGTCTCAAGTCTCTGTTCTTTCACTATGCTAGGCTGCCATAATTTTCTAGGTATGCATTTGCCTTCCTTGACTTTTCACTTGTTGTAATTTTGGGCCAGTTAAGTCAGCATCATTCAGAGATAGGGACTCCCTGCTGATGGAATTTGTCTTCCTTAGGTGTCATATCCAAGTAATTACAGAGTGCAGTAGAGCTAGATTACAATACTACACATTGTCAGTAGGTGTCACTATCTTATCTAATGTGATTATTTGTTCAAAAGTACTCACTGAGCACTTGCTATATGAAAGTCTCTAAGGATATAGTCATGAACTGACAGAGTCTCTGTTTCACTCAGCTTACATTTCAGTAGGGGAAAGTCTGAACCATGAAAAAATATATAATATATCAGATAGTGATCAGTGGAATAAATAAATGCTGAGATTTAAGGCTAAATTAATCAGCTTTGTGAGTTCGAAGTGTGTTGAATGAGGGAGGACTGTCTCTAGTGACACGAAACCAGCTGCCACACAATGTAAGAGGTCATCTCTTGAGAAAGGTCCCTGCCACTGACTCAGTTCAATCAAGCAATGAAAATGATCAGTACTCCCACTTCCACAGTGAAACAGATTGGGAAAGGAAAACCTCCCAGCAAGAGTTTACAGGGTTTACTGCCTGAGTGCTCTACTTAAAACCCTTAGCTGTCACCTATAGAATAAGTCCCAATCTTAGCACAATCTACCAGGCCCCTCATGATCTAATTTGCCTCTTCAGCCTGATCTCCAGCCATATCTTCCTTACACTTTACACCCCAGTAAACCAGAACTGCTTTTTGTCTCCCACATGAGTTTGCTACTTCACTCCTATAGCCCATTGTTGAAAATGACCATTCCATTGGAAAGTCATGTTTATTTTTTCTTATTTATTTAATCTCTACTCCTCTTTTAAGATCAAATTCAGTTATCGCCTCCTCAAAGAAGTCCTCCTTGGTTTCCCCAAGCTGAGTTAGGTACACTCTCTGATACTTCTTCAGCATCTTTGAATTCCATCCCTTGACTTCCATAATGTTTTATGATTGGCTGTTTCTGTGTTTAGTTTTCTGCTTGAAGGAAGGAACTAGGTCTTATTGATGTCTATACCCTCATTGCTGTCTGATAGAAATATAATGCAAGGTCAGGCACAGTGGCTCATGCCTTTAATCTCAACACTTTGGGAGACCAAGGTGGGAGGATGGCTTGAGCCCAGGAGTTTGAGACCAGCCTGGACAACATAGTGAGACCTTGTCTCTCGAAAAAAAAAAAAAGCCTGGTGTGGTGGCTCACACCTGTAGTCCCAGCTACTTGGGAGCTGAGGTGGGAGGATTGCTTGAACCCCAAGAGGTTGAGGCTGCAGTGAGCCATGATAGCAACACTGCACTTCAGTCTGGGCAACAGAGTGAGACCTGGTCTCAAAAAAAACAAAACAAACAAACAGAAATATAATGTAAGCCACATATGTAATTTTAAATTTTCTAGCAACCACATTAAAAAGTAAAAAGAAACAGATGAAATTAATGTTCATAATGTAGTTTATTTAACCCAATATATACAAATACTACCATTTCAACATCTAATCAACATGGAAAATTATCAACTAGATAGTTCACATTCTTTTTATTATAACAACATCCTCAAAATCTAGTGAGTATTTTACACTGACAGCACATCTTAATTTATAAGCTAATTTTCATCAAAAATATTTTATCTATATTTAGATTTTATAAAGCATATTCTCAAAAACAGTAGAATTGGCCAGGCACAGTGGCTCACACCTGTAATCCCAGCACTTTGGGAGGCCAAGGAGGGTGGATCACCTGAGGTCAGGAGTTCGAGACCTGCCTTGCCAACATGGCAAAACCCCGTCTCTACTAAAAATACAAAAATTAACTGGGTGTGGTGGCGGGCACCTGTAGTCCCAGCTGCTCGGGAGGCTGAGGCAGGAGAATCACTTGAACCCGGGAAGCGAAGATTGCAGTGAGCCGAGATCGCGCCACTGCACTCTAGCTTGGGTGACAGAGCGAGACTCCGTCTCAAAGAAAAATAAAAAAATAAACAGTAGAATCACATGCTCAAGCTGTTTGAAACAAACTTAAAAGTTTTCTAAAAACAGAATGGAATATCAAAGCATCATTTTCATTTAATTTTTAAATCTATATTGACAAAACTGGCTCATCATTTTAGAACAATCAATTTGACTTTGAATATGCTTTGAAGCCAAAGCATATTCATTTCAAAATCATGTCTGTCCACAGTAAATTCACTAACTCTTATGTCAACTCAGTATCAACATTGGGTTCAAAAGGGTATTGCAAAAATTGGAAAGCAGCTCTAAATTTACTAATATCAATACAATGTTCTTCAAATTTGTCTTGTCATTTTTGCAGCCAATGTACATAATACTGTCAATTACAATCTTCTGCATATTAATTCACATTAGAAAAATGTGTAATATAATTATTGTTGATTTGTATAATGAAAATTATAATTTCAGCAAATTCTCATACTGGTCTTGCTGAGTCACAAATAAACCTTTTCGTTCCATGAAACTTCAAATTTAGCTTGTTTATATGAGTGTGATATTGTCTAGGAATGTAAATCACAATGTCATTTTTTGTCTTTGATTTGGTGAATTTTGCTTCAAGCAAATGGAGTTAATAATACAGTAAATTTTTGTATAACTGTTCCACCACACAACTGATGAACACTAGCAAATATCACAAGATTGTTAAGTTAATTGTCTTCTATTTTGTTCAATAGATCCATAACTGGCAGTAATTCACAACTTTTATATGTATATACTGAAGAATTTTAACACCTGTGCACATGAGGCCTTTCACAGAATATGCTTCGGAAAAATATGCTTCAGAGTACAAATATTTTCATAGTACTTAGTGAAATGAAGCAATAAAGATAGTATCAGTCTGTTGTTTTAAATTCCAATAAATTTGGATTTTTAAAAAAAATCTAAAATAGTTTGAACACCATCCACCATGATAGAAAAATTTTATTTCCCACATCTAAGTAAAATTATTCTTTGGCAGATATAAAAGAGTTTAAAATAACTTTGCTACGAGTTCCATATTTTAGGTCATGGGTTGATAACAGATTTTTGTCTTCTAAATTTGCAAGCATTTTGAGACAACCTGCCCCCAGGTTGGGTAGTGTCTCTATTATTCTCAACTCATTTAAAGCTAAAATGAAGTCCTTTCAATTTATTCATATTTGAATAAATTTACCTTTGATATTGTTAGAAAAGTCTTCAATTATATGGACAATTGTTTGGTGGCATAATTGAAGTTCTTCTACTTTTTTTTTTTTTTTTTTTTTTGAGACAGAGTCTCTCTCTGTCACCAGGCTAGAGTGCAGCGGCGTGATCTTGGCTCATTGCAACCTCTGCCTCCCGGGTTCAAGCTATTCTCCTGCCGCAGCCTTCCCAGTAGCTGGGATTACAGGCGCATGCCACCACACCCAGCTAATTTTTGCATTTTTAGTAGAGACAGGGTTTCACCATATTGGCCAGGATGGTCTCGATCTCCTGACCTTGTGATCAGCCTGCCTTGGCCTCCCAAAGTGCTGGGATTACAGGCGTGAGCCACCAAACCCAGCCCCACTTTTTGTAAAATATCATTTTTAGTCTTTTCCTTACTACAAGCTTGGATTCTGTTAAAAATCATTTAAATTTTTTGACATTAATTCTGATGCCAGGTGGCTAGTTCAGTTAATCATTTTTTAATTTTTCAGGAGGAACTTATCAAATTCACCAAGTATTTGCTATAAATGTCTCGATACTGTCTATTACATTTTTCTTTCTGTTTTGTTTCTTTCTTTTTTTCTTTTCAAAACAGAGGGTCTCTTAGATTTGTTCTGCTGAAGTAAATTGCAATTGTCATTCATTGTAAAGTTTACAATATGCTTTCTTCCACTCTCTTATTTTTTTTCCATTCTAATCATAGTATTAATTTCTGCATCTCCATTATTTTAAGTAGAAAAAATTTGTCCATATTTATTTTTATACTAAAAAATAATTTAATTGTATTATAATTAAAATAATAACAAGTTCTTCAATTTAATTACCAATTAAGATTCACATAGTTACCACAGTAATTGGAGTTGTTAATATAAAACATTCAAAGATACATGTTACAATATTGCATTGCTGTGTAGGAAAAAAACATTTAAACTGAATCAATCCATCCACACTGACTGGATCAGTGATGTACTTATGCATAATAGTGGAAGCAACATGTGTACCCAAAAAGTGCATTAGTATACAGCACTGCTATATGAGGCCATGCAAAGGCTAAAGTGAGGTAGAGTTCAATCAAAACAATAATGTTGAATTTAATAGAAAAGTATTTTATATTGTTTCCATTTTAAAATTTAAATCTAAATTAATAATACAAATTTTAGGCCGGGCGTGGTGGCTCAGATCTGTAATCCCAGCACTTTGGGAGGCCAAGGCAGGTGGATCACCTGCGGCCAGGAGTTTGAGATCAGCCTGGTCAGCAGGGCGAAACCCCATCTCTACTAAAAATACAAAAATTAGCTGGGCTTGGTGGCACATGCCTGTAATCCCAGCTACTCGGGAGGCTGAGGCAGGAGAATCCCTTGAATCGGGAGGTGGAAGTTGCAGTGAGCCCAGATCGTGCCACTGTGCTCCAGCCTGGGCAACAGAGTGAAACTCTATCTCAATAAACTAAAATAAACTAAAATAAAAATTTAATTTCTCAGTAACATAATCATAGATCAACTGTGTTTAATAGCCACACGTAGCCAGAGTAGCTACTGTATTGGACAGCACAGGCCTAACACACACACACACACAAACACACACACACACACATCATTGATATATACCCCAACTTTACATCTGAAACCCAGAAATTAAGACCTAAATATAGTTGCATCGTACTCAACCATTCTGTAATCTAGGATCAATTACACAGAGATGATATCCAATTTTTAATAGACTAGTGGGGATACTAGAGGTTGGAGGGGTCTAGAAAACCTTCTATGGTTGACGGCAGCATGGCATCATGGAAAAAGCACTGCACCTACGGCCAAATGACTGGGGTTGTAGTCCCCACACCACAGCTCATTAGCTGTGTGTGTTAGATTTCCCTTCTTCAAAAAAGACAGCTTATAATACTCCACATATTTGCTGTGAGGATCAAATAAAAATATTTCTATTCATAGGTTTTAAAACACAGTCCAAATGTTAGTGTTTTTATCGTGTCTGTGCCAGTAGGAAATCTGTCTCGGGCTGAATGCCACACCATTCAGAAAGTGTCCGTGTCATAGGAAGCAGGATGGCTTTGCTATGTTGTCAGGGAGGCCCGTGTTACTGGCAGAGCATGTGTAGGCTCAGTCAGTACCAGAGAGATGTCCCACTATTAGCCAATCAGTTGCACACAAAATCCAGACACTAGTACTTAATCATACTTTCGTCTGTTTGTTTTTTAGGAGTGGAACTTAATAGTTAAGAGTACAGGCTTAAGAGCCTAGGGTTTTGAATCCCCGACTTTTAGAGAATTTAAGGTTTAGAATTTAGTACTCGTAAGACTTTGAGCACATTAACTTGCCATGTCTCATTTTTCTCATCTGGAAAATGGGGATAATAGTGGGTCCTATTTCACAAGGTTAATTACAGTGTGAGATAATCCTTTGAAAGTATTTAAAAGAGTGCCTGGTACATATTCAGTTCTCAATAAATGGTTAGCAATTGTTATCATCCATGCTGAGTCCCCATGGATGAGCTTCTGGGAATTTCCCTCTTTTCGTGATTCCTTTCCATCTACTTCCTCACGAGTTCCTCTGGGTTCCAACAGTATCCTGGTTTCATACTAGGTCATTGCAACTCCAGATCCGATTAATCACTGGAGGAGACAATAAGTCTTTCATTTTCTTCAGAACAGAGTATCTGTTAAGACAACTCTTCTTGCTGACTTTGACCACCAAATCCACCTCACAGCTGAATTCAGATGTGTTACCATGCTAAGTTGTTTCTTCTGTCTTCTTCCTCTTCTTCTTCTTCTTGTTCTTCTTCTTCTTCTTCTTCCTCTTCTTCTTCTTTCTTCTTTCTTCTTCTTCTTCTTCTTCTTCTTCTTCTTCTTCTTCTTCTTCTTCTCCTTCTTCTTCTTCTTCCTCTTCTTCTTCTTTCTTCTTCTTCTACTTCTTCTTCCTCTTCCTCTTCTTCTTCCTCTTCTTCTTCCTCCTCTTCCTCTTCTTCTTCCTCTTCCTCTTCCTCTTCTTCTCCTCCTCCTTCTTTTTTTGAAACAGGGTCTTGCTTTGTCACTCAGGCTGGAGTGTAGTGGCATGATCATAGCACACTGCAACCTTGAACTCCTGGGCTCAAGGGATCCTGCCACCTCAGCCTCCTGAGCAGCTGGGACTACAGGCACGTGCACCACATTCAGCTAATTTTTAAATTTTTTATAGAGATGGGGTCTCACTATGTTGCCCAGGCTGGTCTCAAACTCCTGGGCTCAAGTGATCTTCCTGCCTTGGTCTCCCAAATGCTGGGATTACAGATACAGAGCCACCATGCCTGACCTTTTTCTGCTTCTTTATGTAGCCTTACAGAAGAACTTCCTCTTAAGAAGGGGACTGAGAATGAAATGAAGTCTCATTCATTTATCCATTTATTCATTCCACAAATACTTACTGAGCACTTACTTTGTGTCTGATACTGTTTATGTGCTTAGGAGTCAACAGAGAATGAAATGATTAAAAAAAAAAATTCCTGCCGTCAGAGTTCAAGACCAGCCTGGCCAAGATGGTGGTGAAACCCCATCTCTACTAAAAATACAAAAATTGGCCAGATGTGGTGGTGGGCACCTGTAATCCCAGCTACTCAGGAGGCTGAGACAGGGAATTGCTTGAAGCCGGAAGGCAGAGGTTGCAGATAGCCGAGATCGCACCACTGTAGTCCAGCCTGGGTGACAGAGCAAGACTCCGTCTCAATAACTAACTAACTAAATAAATAATAAAATAGAAAATAAATTCCTGCCCTCATGGAGCTTCCATCTTAGTGAGGTGAGTTGGACAATAAATAATAATAAATAAGCACATTATTCACTATGTTAGAAAATTATAAGCACTGAAAAAAAATGAGCAGACTGAGGGGGATGGGAAGTGGGAGATGTGGGATTGGGTAATAATTTAAACAGAATTCTCCAGGAGGGTCTTACTGAGAATAGAGCACTGGGCACAAGCTTGGAGGAGGTCGCAAGATAACCATAGGGTTATTTTGGAGGAAGAGGTGCCTGGCAGAGAGAGTAGCACTGGAAAACTTCTAAGTTGGGAATGTGTCTGAACTTTCAAAGCACAGCAAGGAAGCTGATGTTTCTGGAGTGGAGTGATAGCAATGGGGCCATAGCATGTAGGGCTTTGTAGGACATTGTAAAGACCATGAGTTTTACTTCCAACAAAATTATTTGGGGACACAGGATGTAACCATGGGGTTAGAGTTCCTATTGCATAGTTATTTCAAGTCTGATTTAGGCAGTGACGGTATAAATAGACCACAAAATTAGATTGCCTGAGCTGTCAGAGGCCTTTAAGGAAATTGAGTTCTCTTGCTTATCAATCCTTGAATTCTTTCCAAAGCATTGGTACCATATAGTCAATTTGCCTGTTCTTGGACACCTGGTGATAGGGAGCTCTCTTCTTCCCAAGGCAGCCCTCTTTCCAGTCCTGTATGGTAGAAGTCTCCCTTTTATAGAGCTGACATCTGTCGGCCTGTCATTGCCATCCATCATCTTTATTTCTAACCCTTGGAGGCCTTTCAGGATAAGCATAATCTCTCTTCCTCATGACAGCCCTTCAAATATTCGAAGACGATTGCCATATCCCTAGAGTTTTCTCTTCTGCAAGCCGATCAACTCCAGTTCCTGCTATCATTTCTCACATGACAATTATATCCAGCATCAGATCTCTCTCCTCTGACTCTGCTGCAGGTCTATATATTTGATGCCTAGAAGGGAAGCCAGGTGTGTCCAGCTGGGGGAGACCAGATCAGAGACATCCCATCCTTGGGCCAGGGCAGTGGTTCACATCTGTAATCCTAGCACTTTGGGAGGCCGAGGTGGGTGGATTGCTTGAGGTCAGGAGTTCAAGACCAGCCTGACCAACATGGTGAAACCTTGTCTTTACTAAAAATACAAAAATTAGCCAGTGTGGTGGCAGGCGCCTGTAATCTCAGCTACTTGGGAGGCTGAGGCAGGAAAATGGCTTGAAGCCAGGAGGTGGAGGTTGCAGTGAGCTGAGATCGCGCCACTGCTCTCCAGCCTGGGTGACAAAGCAAGACTCCATCTCAAATAAATAAATAAATAAATAAATAAATAAATAAATAAAGAGACATCTTATCCTTGGTCTGGGCCAGGTTCTAGATGATAGCATGGTAAAGCGAAAAGACTTTGAAGTCAGATAGACATGGACGGAAATCCCAGCTCTGCCCCTTCAGGGCGGTGTGAAAGGTGATTTAGTCTCTCCGAACCTTTACTTCTACATCTGTAAAGTGAAAATGGTAATACCGATCCTGGAGATTCATTGTGAGACTTTAGTGATTTGATGTGTTTACAGTTGCCTGGCACCTCATAGAGGTTCAAAGTTAATTTCAGAAATAGTCTTCATGTTCTTCTTCTTCGTTTTTCGTTTGTTTGTTTGTTTGTTTGAGATGGAGTCTCACTCTGTCACCCAGGCTGGAGTGCAGTGGCGCAGTCTTGGCTCATTGCAACCTCTGCCTCCTGACTTCAAGCCATTCTCCTGCCTCAGCCTCTTGAGTAGCTGGGATTACAGGCACCCACCACTACACCCAGCTAATTTTTGTATTTTTAGTAGAGACAGGGTTTCACCATGTTGGTCAAGCTGGTCTCAAACTCCTGACCTCATGATCCACCTGCCTCAGCCTCCCAAAGTGCTGGGATTACAGGCGTGAGCCACCGTGCATGGCCCTATGCTCTTCTTCTAAATCCTTAATAAGACTATGTAGAATCTCCAGGGCTTTTTTTTTTTCTATTTTCTTCAACAAATTAAGAAATACAGAAGAGAAATTTCATTGGCTGCAGGTCCAGCTCCTCAGAGGCTATAGAGGTGGTTTGGAGTCATGGGCAAGTCCTATGGGGAGGAGCGGTTCAAGTGATCTGCCTATGTCCTGGCTGCCTAAGCTCAGAACAAATAAAGTGTGGACTTCTTTTCTTTTCTTTTTTAAATTTAAATTTTATTTTATTTTAAGTTCCAGGATACATGTGCAGGATGTGCATGTTTGTTACACAGGTAAACAGGTGCCATGGTGGTTTGCTGCACCCATCAACCCATTAGCTAGGTATTAAGCCCTGCATGCATTAGCTATTTATCCTGATGTTCTCCCTCCCCCTACCCCACCCCACCCCACAAGAGGCCCCAGTATGTGTTGTTCCCCTCCCTGTGTCCTTATGTTTTCATTGTTCAGCTCCTACTTATAAGTGAGAACATGTGGTGTTTGGTTTTCTGTTCCTGTATTAGTTCGCTGAGAATAATGGCTTCCAGCTCCATCCATGTCCCTGCAAAGGACATGATCTCGCTCCTTTTTATGGCTGCATAGAGTCTCATGGTGTGTAGGTACCACATTTTCTTTATCCAGTCTATCATTGATGGGCATTTGGGTTGATTTCACATCTTTGCTATTGTGAATAGTGCTGCAGTGAACATATGCATGCATGTATCTTTATACTAGAATGATTTATATTCTTTTGGGTATATACTCAGTAATGGAATTGCTGGGTCAAATGGTATTTCTGGTTCTAGATCTTTGAGGAATCGCCACACTGTCTTCCACAATGGTTGAATTAATTTGCATTCAAATAAACTGTGAACTTATTTTCACCCAGGAGAGTGAGCTCCTTTCTTTGCAAAATGGGACAAAGATGTAACTAGAACTTTGACTATTTCAGAACATCATGGGCACAGCTCTGCAATGAGTCTGACTTTCATTGCTCATCTAAAGCTGATGATAAGGGAGACATTTTCCCCGAATGGTTGTAACTGTAAGGGGTGAAAAAGAAAGGCTTCTCCATTGCCCTCTGAAGCTTCTCTGAAAATGAACTGACAATAGGCGGATTAATAGGAGACAAAGGCATAAAATTTATTTAACATGCATGGGGAAAACCACAGGAGAGTGACTACCCAAAACCCAGTAATGCTTATATATCCTTCTTCATGGGAGAGGTAGAGGAGGGAGAATGTAGGTAATTTTGAGGGGTAGTAAATAATTTCAGTAAACGTAAATGGACCCAGGAGACAGAAATTATCTTGTAAAGGATTCTCTTTGGAATGTGAATGAGCCTGAGATGGAGACAATATCTTGTAACAAAGTCCATCCAGGTGTGGTTACATTCCTCAGTCTTCTTTCCTGCCATAGATAATCAAATTTCAGGGATGAGATGGAAGGGAATTGTGTTCTCTTTGGTGGGTCTACTCTTAAGACAGGTAAGGGAATATCAGAGTAAAATTCTATTCTGCACTGGGTGTGGGGGCGGTGGGATGGAGGGGCTGATGGGAGTGGTCAGAAAGTCCTTGATTCTTTTTTTTTCTTTCTTTCTTTTTTTTTTTTTTTTTTTTTTGAGACAGAGTTTTGCTCCCGTCTCCCAGGCTGGAGTGCAATGGTGCAATCTTAACTCACCGCAACCTCCTGCCTCCTGGGTTCAAGCCATTCTCCTACCTCAGCCTCCTGTTGGTCAGGCTCGTCTCAAAGTCCCGACCTCAGGTGATCTGCCTGCCTCGGTCTCCCAAAGTGCTGGGATTATAGGTGTGAGCCACCTTGCCCGGCTATTCTAAGGCAATTTGTAAAGCCTTCCTATTTTAGTTCAAAGTACTCAGCTTGCATTGAGCATACTTTTGGGAAATCATTTTCTGAGCCCAAAGCACCATTCTTTCAGGGTTATCATTTTCTGAGCCCCAACATAACCATTTCGATATGGGAGCTAAGGAGCTGAGGAAAAGGCGTATCTGGAACATGACGAGAGCTGGTCATTTTGCCAAATCGAGCCCTCTTCTCCACTGTCCTCATTAGAGGCTCCCCATCTTTTGCACGGACCGTTGCACTAAGTGATCTTTTTACCAGGGCCCTGCCTCCCTTTCAACTCCAATTCCCTCTGTGACTCCTCTCAACAGCTCCCCTGGCAATCATGCTCCTACACGATCCACTCTCGTCTCAGCTAAACTTCCTAGCCTCACATCCAGCCCACCCTTAGCTACAGCCTTTCAAAATTCTTTGCCATCCTCTGACAATACCACTCGAGCCCAGACCTCCAGTCCTTTGCATTTGCTGTCAACTCCACTTGACATAATGCCTTTCTCTACTTTTTCTTTCTTTCTTTTTTTTTTTTGATTAATGAACTCTTCTCATCCATTCTTTCACATCCTACTCAAATACCACCTCATTTACGAGATTCCTTCAGGAAGAGTTTATGACTCTCTCCCGTGTTCTTTTTTGTTTGTTTCGTTTTGGTTTTGAGACAGAGTTTCATTCTTGTCGCCCAGGCTGGAGCGCAATGGCGCGATGTTGGCTCACTGCAACCTCCACCTCCTGAGTTGAAGTGATTCTCCTGCCTCAGCCTCCTGAGTAGCTAGAATTACAGGCATGCACCACCACACCTGGCTAATTTTGTATTTTTTAGTAGAGATAGGGTTTCTCCATGTTGGTCAGGCTTGTCTTGAACTCCCGACCTCCAGTGATCCTCCCACCTCGGCCTCCCAAACTGCTGGGATTACAGGCATGAGCCACCGCGCCTGGCCTCTCCTGTGTTCTTATAGCACTTTGCATTGCATTGCACTTTGCATTGTATTATTCCTGGCTTATCGTATTACAACGTTCTGTTCATGCATCTCTCTCCTCCACGGAGTCTATATTCCTTTCCTAGGGCTGCTGTAACAAATTACCACAAAGTGGCTTAAATCAACAGATATTTATTCTCTCACAGTTCTGGAGGCTAGAAGTGCTAAAATCAAAGTGTCAGCAGGGCCACGCTCCCTCTGAAGGCTCTGGGGAAGGATCCTTTCTGCTTCTTCCAGCTTCTGATGATTGTCGGCAATCCTTATTGTTCCTTAGCTTGCAGCTGTGTCACTTCAACCTCTGCTTCTGTTGTCATATGGCTTTCTTTCCTGTGTCACTGTGTCCTCTCATTTCTCTTATAAAGACACTAGTCACTGGGTCAGGGTCCACCCTACTCCAATATGATTTCATTTTAACTTGATTATATACGCAGAGACCCTATTTCCAAATGAGGTCATATTTACAGGTAGCGGGAGGGTTAAGACTTCAAAAATATCTTTTTGGAGGAGAACATAATTCAACCCACAGCACTAGGCTTTACATGTTTGTGCATTGCCACTGCCTATAAAAGGTGCATAAAAATGCTCATTAAATGATGAAGGAATAAATGAAAGAAGAGAGACAGAATAAGTTATCCCAATATACAGGTATTCGCTATGTGCCCCATCTATGCTAGGTCCTGTGGTAGGCACGGAGGTCACAGAGAATAAGATGTGGCTTCAACCATCGTTTCCTCCCCGTAATGTGCCTGAGCTTCCCAGTAGTGTGTCCTCTGCAGTCCTCAGCTCACCCTGAGCCCCTTAGCTTTAAATAGACCTACCCGCGTGTTTGATACCAGAGTGCTCATGACTAATTCAGGACCTTCCTAGCAGTGAGTTTTGGAGTACGGGAGTCCAGCTGGAACCCCCATTCCCCTAGGATCATTGGATCCTGCTCCCACTTGACAGCTGTGGGGATTTTACTTCCTGCGTCTAGGCATAGAATTAACCTACGGGCTTTTTTGAAACAAGTCCCACTTCCTCCACTCTGTTTTCCTCTGAGTTTTATTTCCCCATTTGTAGAAAGGAGATAATACCCAGGCCAGGCGCGGTGGCTCATGCCTGTAATCCCAGCACTTTGGGAGGCCGAGGCGGGTGGATCACGTGAGGTCAGGAGTTTGAGACCAGCCTGGCCAACATGGTAAAATCCCGTCTCTACTAATAATACAAAAATTAGCTGGGCATGGTAGTGCATGCCTGTAATCCCAGCTACTCTGGAGGCTGAGGCAGGAGAATCACTTGAATCTGAAGGCAGAGGTTGCAATGAGCCGAGGTCATTCCAGTGCACTCCAGCCTGGGCGACAAGACCTAAACTCCATCTCAAAAAAAAAAAAAAAAAAGGATATAATACCCAATTTCTCGAGGTAGTTGAGATAGGAAACATGGAAGTAATTGATGAAGCTAATTATTAGTTATTTAGCATTCAACATTTATTTTGTTCTTTTGTTTTTTGTTTGTTTGTTTTTGTTTTTGTTTTTTTTTTTTTTTTGAGACAGAGTCTCGCTCTGTCACCCAGGCTGCAGTGCAGTGGCGCGATCTCGGCTCACTGCAAGCTCCTCCTCCCGGGTTCACGCCATTCTCCTGCCTCCGCCTCCCGAGCAGGTGGGACTACGGGCGCCCGCCACTGCGCCCGGCTAATTTTTTTGTATTTTCAGTAGAGACGGGGTTTCACTGTGTTAGCCAGGATGGTCTCTATCTCCTGACCTCTTGATCCGCCCGCCTCGGCCTCCCAAAGTGCTGGGATTACAGGCGTGAGCCACCGCGCCCGGCGGATCTGGAGCATTTTTAAAGTATCTGGGTCTATTGACTCGATGACTGGATATGTTCAAATCTGAGTTCTTTACTGCAGAGGATTGGCTGTAGTTTTAATCTGGGCAAGACTGGGGAACCCCCAAATAACTCCCCAGAGACTTCTTGTGCTGGAATTGGAGGATTTTCCACACACACAAAAGGAAAGAGGGAGTGAGTGTTTAAGTACCACCCTTGGGTGTCTTGGGGTTTTTATGCTCCTCACCTGGGCCCCCTTCCTTTGCCTCCTGAGACACCAGATGGATGAGATAGCCCACGGAGGAAACACAGCACTGGAGGAAGAGATGGTCAAGGATAAGCCTTGGGCACATCTACATTCAGGGGATTAGAAAAGAAAGAAACAATAGCAAAAGAAAATGAGAGAGGTCAGGAAGTCTGGAGGAGAACCAGGAGAAAGCAACTCCATTTATTCTCCTTCCCCCAGAATGGCAGAATTATCAGACATCCTGTCTATATCTTGCCCTTCTGTCCTCTGGAGTCCTCTTCACCAGACAGTTAATTTCTTTAAAATGTTAAGTACTTCACCAATTGCTATAAACAGCCGTAAGGTGCACATCCAACACCCACCATGCAGATTAAAGTATTAATATGGAGAAAAGGAGCAGCAGAAGAGACAATCAAGTTTAATTTGATTTTTCCCCAAGTAAAGCATAAGTCAGTACAGAGTGCTGTATCTTAATAGCCTCTGAAGACACCTCTTTCCAAGATAATTAGCTCCCTTTCTCTGGATATTAGCATTATCAGCTCCAGAGCCTCCTATTAAGAGACCTTTGTTATCCCAATTATTTCTAATATGGCTATAGCTAATTAAAGAATTAACAGTTGAGGTCAAATAAGAGGAAAGTGGTTGTACTTTTCCTGATTGTCAGTTTCTTCATCTAAAATAACGGGTATAATATCACAGCTCTCTCAGGGTTGTTGAGGAAATTAAATGGTATGTTTGTCCAGTCCTTTGAATGGTTCTGGCACACATCAAGAACTTAATTATATGGTAGCCATTACTATATAACTGGATACATGAAACCCTTGGAATGTCCATTTTTCTATCTCATACACTTAGCATTTGCCTTCATAAAACTTTTATTGAAATGAGGCCATACAAATAAGCTAGTAAAATATATAAGCCAGGCACAGTGGCTTACACCTGCAATCCCAACAATTTGGGAGGCCAAGGCAGGAAGATCTCTTGAGCTCAGAAGTTTGACACCAGCCTGGGAACATGGTGAGACCTTGTTTTTACCAAAAGTCAAAAAAAATTAGCCGGGCATGGTGGCACATGACTGTAGTCCCAGCTACTTTGGTGGCTGAGGTGGGAGGATCACTTGAGGCTTGAGGCTGCAGTGAGCTATGATCACACTCCACTACACATCAGTCTGGGTGACAGAGGAAGACCCGGTCTCAAAAATTAAATAAATAAACTTAAAAAATAAAAATAGGCCGGGCGCAGTGGCTCAAGCCTGTAATCCCAGCACTTTGGGAGGCTGAGGCGGGCAGATCACGAGGTCAGGAGATGGAGACCATCCTGGCTAACACGGTGAAACCCCGTCTCTACTAAAAATACAAAAAAAATTAGCGGGGTATGGTGGCGGGCGCCTGTAGTCCCAGCTACTCGGGAGGCTGAGGCAGGAGAATGGCGTGAACCCAGGAGGCGGAGCTTACAGTGAGCCTAGATCGTGCCACTGCACTCCAGCCTGGGCTACAGAGCAAGACTCCGTCTCAAAAAAATAAATAAATAAAAATAAAAAATATAGTATGTTTTTGGCACAAATCTTACTTTGAGCTGGAGGCATTTGTGATTCAATAGATGCAGAAAGAAACCTTCCTAGAGCTGGCGTTCTCTAACTAAAAGTGGAAAGTTCTGAGGAATGAGGACTGTTATAAATCCCACCCCACACCGCACCTTCTCCAGGGAAGTTTCATGGCCGTGAAGAGGACAGAAAGTGAGAACCAAGATGGAACTGAATAAACAAGCTTCACACTGTTAGTTTCCCCATATGCTTACCTTCCCACAGATGCCAACCTTGGAGGCCTAAGAGGCCTAGAATATTATCCTTTGTCTGATCATTTCTCTACAAATTTATTGTTCTTTGTTAAGATGCTACATAAGCCCAAATTCTAACCACCCCTTTGAGTTACCCATCATCAAGTTTCTCCCATGTGTTAATCAACTCTGTTTCTCTCCTCTTAATCTAGTTTGTGTCAGTCTAATTTGCAGGGTCCCAGCCAGAGAGCCTAGGAGGGTAGAGGAAAAAGGTTTTTTATCCCTCCGAATATGTGTGAAATGATACAGAGCAAAATAAGGCGTGGAAGATAGCTATGGAGTGTGGAAGAGGAGGATGCTAAGTTAATTAATTAATTAATTTTTCTTGAGAGGGAGTTTTGCTCTTGTTGCCCAGGCTGGAGTGCAATGGCGTGATCTCAGCTCACCACAACCTCTGCCTCCTGGGTTTAAGCGATTCTCCGGCCTCAGCCTCCCAAGTAGCTGGGATTACAGACATGCGCCACCAAGCCCGGCTAATTGTGTATTTTTAGTAGAGACAGGGTTTCTCCATGTGGGCAGGCTGGTCTCAAACTCCTGACCTCAGGTGATCTACCTGCCTTGGCCTCCCAAAGTGCTGGGATTACAGTCTTGAGCCACCGCGCCCGGCGAGGATGCTAATTTAAAATAAGAAGGTGGGCAAGGCGTGTTCCCAGTGAACATTTCTTTCCTCTTACTTATGGCTGAGGGCATCCTGAAGGTTATATTATGTTTCCTAATAAGGTTTGATTGTGGGCTTGGACAGCTTGAAGTTGGCATTAAATATAGTTGAGTCACCAGAGGATGACAATAAATATGTAAGCATAGGAAAATGCACAGATTGCTGAAGAGGCACATAGGTGTACCAGGCAGGGAACAGGATTGGCCAGATCATGAAATGCCTTCAGTGATGTGATTCCATGCTTCCTATGACGCTCTGGCCCGAGTCAGGAAGAGACACAAAATCCTCCACTGCATTTCCATAACAGCTGTTTCAAGACTGGACTCTTCATAAAACTTTACAGAGATTATTGGATCACAGAGAAATAAACACAGGGGAACAATAAATCTAGACTCTGTACTGTCTAAAATGGTAGCCACTAGACACATGAGGCTATTTTTAAATCTGAGTTTGGCCAGTCGTGGTGGCTTATGCCTGTAATCCCAGCACTTTGGGAGGCTGAGGCGGGTGGATCACCTGAGGTCAGGAGTTTGAGACCAGCCTGGCCAACATGGCAAAACCCTGTCTCTACTAAAACAAAACAAAACAAAACAAAAATTAGCCAGGCATGGGGGTGTATGCCTGTAACCCCAGCTACTCGGGAGGCTGAGGCAAGAGAATCGCTTGAACCCAGGAGGCAGAGGTTGCAGTGAGCCGAGATATTGCGCCACTGCACTCCAGCCTAGGTGATAGAATGGGACTCCATCTCAAAAAAAAAAAAAAAAAAAAAAGTAAAAAATTAAATAAATAAATAAATCTAAGTTCATCAAAATATCATAAAGAAATCACTTCCTCAGTTGTACTGGTCACATGTGGCCCAAGAGTGTAGCCACATGCGGCCCAAGACTGTAATAGCCACATAAGGCTAGTTACTAGTGTAGAGATAGAACATTTCCAACTTGCAGGAAGTTTTATTGGACTGTACTGGTTTAGATAATATTTTTAGAGTGGTGCTACTCAAGTTTAATGTGTACATGTATTACCTCGTGACCTTGTCAAAAAGCAGAGTTTGATTCATTAGGTGCAGAATGATTCATTAGGTGCAGATTCATTCATTCTGCATTTCTAATTAGCTCCCTGGTGATCCGATGCTGCTGGTTCACTACCACCATTTAGTAGCAAGAGCTCAGAGATTGCATCTTGTTCTCCAGTGCTTCTAGAAAATACCTGGTGCCCAGGGAGCTTCTGCATTAACTTCTATTTTTTTTTTTTTTTTGAGATGGAGTTTCGCTCTTGTTGCCCAGGCTGGAGTGCAATGGTGCGATCTCGGCTCACTGCCACCTGGGAGGCAGACTCCCAAGTTCAAGCGATTCTCCTGCCTCAGCCTCCCGAGTAGCTGGGATTACAGGCAGGTGCTACCACACCCGGCTAATTTTTTATTTTTAGTAGAGACGGGGTTTCTCCATGTTGGTCAGGCTGGTCTCGAACTCCTGACCTGAGGTGATCCGCCTGCCTCAGCCTCCCAAAGTGCTGGGATTACAGGCGTGAGCCACCATGCTTGGCCTGCATTAACTTCTTTCACATCCATTCGTGGTCTTATTTTGCCATTGGAGGTAGAATGCCTGCAGGGTATTATCCTCACCGTTCCTTACTAGATGATCATAACTTATGGCAGGTGCATGGACTAAAGACCTAAATGCTTATATTAAATTTCTGGCTTTAGCATTTATCAGCTGTGTGAACTTGAGCAAGTCACTTAACCTCTCTGTGTCTCAGTTTTCATAATCAAAACAGGGAAAATAATAATATCTTAGAATGCTTTCTGAGATTTTGTAAGTAATGTATTCATGTTAGCTATTACATTTATTAATCAAATAGGTTCGATTGCAAGCCTCCTTTTCTCATGTATCTCCTCTGTGCTAGGAACTAGGAAAAATAGATATGATCAAGACACAGTTCCTGACCTTGAAGGGCTCTCAGACAGGATTCCCAGATGTCTGGCATTGGCGTGGGTCTTTGGGAATGAGATTCTAAGTATTGTGTTTAATAAATGAAGCAGATGTCTCACGATGTCAGATGGCACACATTTCTATGAAAATAAATGCTTCTCTTTTACCTTGCTGCTTGGTGCTTCAGTTGACATTATAGGGCAACCCTGCTTGTAGCCTAACCAGGCAGATAAGGTACCTACATGTGCAATAGGAAGATATGTCACCAGGCTCAGTCCCTGCACAATGTCACATTCAAGGAAAGACAGCAAGCAGCCAACATTATTCAAAGCAAATTTATGTTTCTGTGAGTTCCTTTCAAAGCATGTCCCAAAGGATGCAATTTACAACTGAAAGCAGTGCTTTTAAAATCTTTTTGTTTTATTCCTTTCAATTTCCTTTCTCATTCTTTTTCCTACCAAATGTTTACCTGAAATGAAATCTGTGATTCTTTCCTGCCTCTTTCTCTCCATTTCCCATTCATACGGTAGCCAAGCCCTGCCTCTCTCATATGCCCATCCCCTTGCCCATAAACTGTTTCCCTTTCCTTCCTCTTCCTCCAGTCCTGATGTTCACGGGCCCCAGTCCCTTTGTCTTTTTTTTTTTCCTTTTTTTTTTTGAGATGGAGTCTCACTCTGTCACCAGTCTGGAGTGCAGTGATGCAATCTTGACTCACTGCAACCTCCGCCTCCTGGGTTCAAGCGATTCTCCTGCCTCAGCCTCCCGAGTAGCTGGGACTACAGGCGTGGGCCACCATGCCCAGCTAATTTTTTTTTGTATTTTTAGTAGAGAAGAGGTTTCACCATGTTGGCTAGGATGCTCTTGATCTCTTGACCTTGTGACCTGCTCACCTCGGCCTCCTAAAGTGCTGGGATTACAGGTATGAGCCACTGCACCTGGGCCCCCCTTCCTTCCTTCCTTCCTTTTTTTCTTTCTTTCTGAAGGAGTTTCACTCTTGTTGCCCAGGCTGGAGTGCAGTGGCACGATCTCAGCTTACCCCAACCTCCGCCTCCCGGGTTCAAGTGATTCTTCTGCCTCAGCCTCTTGAGTAGATGGGATCACAGGTGCCTGCCACCTTGCCCAGCTACTTTTTTGTATTTTTAGTAGAGACGGGGTTTCGCCATGTTGAGCAGGCTAGTCTTGAACTCCTGACCTCAGGTGACCCGTCCGCCTCGGCTTTCCAAAGTGCTGGGATTACAGGCGTAAACCACTGCACCTGGCACCCCCATTCCCTGTCTACGAGCCTGCACTCCCGGCCCTTTCCACACCTTGCAATCTCTTGGGAGAGGAAATCTGGCTCTGTTTCTCACTGTGTCTGGGTGGAAATCTGCCCATTTCCTGGATAACAAGGGAGAGTCAGAAACAGACCCCGAAAGAAAAAACTTCTTCCTTCATAGAAAGGATCTTGGAGGTTGTGGTATGCAGAATTTTTGGACGTCCCCTAGGATCTCCCGCGGCCCCTGCCCCCCGCCCCGCCGGTGTAGATGCCTTACATAATCCTTGGGCCTGTGAACATGATGGATATTATTCCCGTGACTAGGTTATGTGAGATGACACATTCACTTTAAAAAGGGAGATCATTCAGCCGGGTGCGTTGGCTCACGCCTGTAATCCCAACACTTTGGGAGGCCGAGACGGGCGGATCCCGAGGTCAGGAGATTGAGACCATCCTGGCTAACAAGGTGAAACTCCATCTCTACCAAAATTACAAAAAATTAGCCGGGCGTGGTGGCGGGCGCCTGTAGTCCCAGCTACTCGGGAGGCTGAGGCAGGAGAATGGCATGAACCCGGTAGGCAGAGCTTGCAGTGAGCCGAGATTGTGCCACTGCACTCCAGCCTGGGCAACAGAGTGAGACTCTGTCTCAAAAAAAAAAAAAAAAAAAAAAAAAAAAGGGAGGTCATTCAAGGTGAACTTGACCTAATCAAATGAGCTCT